>NC_000023.11:84583754-84886784 GCF_000001405.40 Homo sapiens
TTTTAAAACTCAAAACAGTCTGGGGTGAGTTCGGGGCCACATTACTTAAACACTTAATGACTGACTTTGAGAGATCTATAAATTCTGGGGGGAAAATGCTTTTAGTATTTACTATAACAAATGAAGAAGGAGATGTTGGCCCATGGAGGAAGACAAAAATCAGTACTGAGAATAATCCCGGACAGATATGTGTAACAAGCCCTTTGGCTACTGTATAAAATTGCAAATCCCACTCATTTTTCTCCATCAAATATGCTAGGGAAACTACTAGACCAAGGCAATCAGACTAAGGCTCATAGCAAAATGTGCTAACATTTAATAGTTTCATAGCAATTTGGCCCCTAGACAAATTGCTACGTGTCCTATGCCCTTTACCTGAAATAAACCATCTCCTTTCTTTGGTAGGTACCCAGTACTTTCATACTGTCTCCTAGCATACTTCCAGACCTGTTTCACCTAAAAGATGTTCTGGGTATGTCCTTTCTCTCTATTATAAAAACCCTCTGTGGAACTTTCATATTGCAAATGATTGGATAGAATAGAGGTAACTGATATGTTATCTCACTTAGGAAGACTGTTGTGTGAATTAAGAATGTACTATGCTGCAAATAACAGATAACATTATTATAAAGCCATAAACATATAAGTTTGGGAGCAGGCAGCCTAGTTGTTACTACTGTAGCTCAATGATGCCATCAAAGATTTAGATTCCTTTCAACATCCTCTTTTTCCATTCTTGCAATATAGACTTTTGCTCTCATGCTTGTTGCTTCATGATTGTAAGATAACTATTGAGCTTCTGGGCTTTAAAACTGAGGTTCTGGAAGGAAAAAGAGGTGAGTAGGAAGGGACGAAATGGTGAAGGAGTTTCTTCTAGAAAGATCTCACCTTTTAGATCAGAAAGAAATACACTGCCCAGAGACTTTCTCGTATGTCTCATTGGTCAGAACTGTGTCTCATGGCTACTCCTAATTATTTAACAGCACTAAACAAAAATTAGGAAATAAAGTTATTTTTAGCTGGCGCATTACTGTGATTAATGAAAACAGGCTTCCGTTAGTAAGAAAAAAAGGGGATATAAAACTAGCAATGTCTACCCCAATAGGTATTTTGATAGAACATGAAAACAAATGGGAGGTAGGAAGGAAGAAGGAAGGAAAGGAAAGAGAAAAGATAAGAAAGAAGATTAATGATGGCATTCTGGGCATAAATGAAGGGATCATGGGGAGATATTTTGGAGAATAAGGGGCCTTTACTGAGACCTCTTAAATTATCTAGGCAGACAGAAGCCTACTTGATCAATATAAGGGATATTGGTTGGTGAATGCCTACTTTGTGCCAATTACTGTATGTACTTTATTTCCTTTAATTTTCACAGCAACCCTACCAGACAGGAGCATAGAGTCTAACTACAGTATCATGTAAGAAGTGCTAAAAATAAGACACACTGTGACATGGGAACTCAGAGGAACAATGCATGTAATGGAAATATGAACCATGTACAAATTTAGATGGCATGTATTCGTTTTCAAAATTATTTTATTGGTGGTATTAGAGAAATGGTATGGTAGAAAGAGCAACTGACACAATTATATTTTTACTATAGCTCAGAAAGAAAAATATGTTTAACTTTATTGTAGGCCTGTATGCTACTGTTGTGTGTGAAAGTTTATGTCATGTCTACCTCTTGCAGGCAAATATATCCCTACTTTTCCAACAGTGTCTTAAACGTACACCAGTGGATAATCTGTCTTGGGAAGATTGCTCATTCTAGAATACCTGTCAACAGCAATCTCAGAACAACTAAATTTCTTTCTCGAAATGTTTTATAATTTATTTATTTTACTATAGCTTTTTGTTTGTTTGGCTGGTTGGTTGAATGTTTGCAGGGTGGTCATCTGCTATTGGTTGCCTCTCACAAGAAAGGACTATTTTTGCAAAGACTGCAAGAGAATGTTTTGTGTGCCTTTCTGAACAACTTGAAGCAGATTGAGAAGTTCCATAATGTATTCGAAAATCTGCTTTTTTAAATGCCACCAGGTGTTCAGTGCCGCACACAACAACTACCATTGTTAATACCAAAAAAGAATGAATATATGAACATTCTTTTAATATAGCCTTAAAAAAAAGAGACTTCTCCAGGTCTCAGAAAATATTTGCTCTAGTATTGGCTGATTGATTGGTTTTCATCAGAGAAAGCAGCCTTTCACTAATACCTAACAGCTAACAAAATGCAAATTATCCAACTTAAATGCTAAAAATATATACAAGTCTGATATTATAGACAGAATATCTAGCAGAGTTGATTCATCTTAAAAGTATGTTTTCCTCTGTACACCAGACATCTCAGTTTTAGGTCTATTTTTGTTATAGTTGGCTTTTAAAAAATGAGTTTGTAATTCAATTTACGAGAGATTGTTTCCTTAACAACGGAAGCTACCACAGCTGCAAAGGTCACTTTAAAGTATAATTAATGATTTTGAGATATCTAAATCAATTATTTGATTAGTTATACCTGCTTGTACATCTCTTAAGTAGAGGTGAAGTGTATTTACTTTCTCATTTTTGTTTTTTTCATATTTTTCAAGTGAATGAGACTCAGAGTAGAAGTTAGAGAAACAGGGAATGAGGAAGAAAAACTAAAGGCATCTCAGAGTTAAGTGGCAAATTTAGTTCACTACTAAATAGAAAAAAAGATGAGAATGAGGTGTTTTAGGTAATATTAAGATGAAAGTTCTAACTTTGTAAAAAGCCTCAGGCAGTCTTTTTGAAGCGGCCTCGTTGCTTGGGGTGACACCTGAGGTTTGTTGTTTCATAGCCATGGAGATTAAGGACCCAGACACACAAAGAGTGAGATTAAGAGCAGAGGTTTAATAGGTGAAAGAAAGAGAATAGGTTTCTGCTACAGAGAGGGGTCCCAGAAAAATGGGTTGCCGATCCACGGTGAAATGCAGGGCGTTTTATGGATGAGCTGGTAGGGAGGCAGTTTCTGATTTACATAGGGCACAAAAAAACTGGTTAGAATCAGGTGTGCCATTTTGCATAGGACATGAATCTCTGGCAGCCCCCACCCCAGTTTTTTTTTTTTTATGCAGGCGGATTTCCAGCCTGAGCTGGTCCACGTGCATTTTTTTTTTCTGTACACGTGCTAACAAAAAAGGGAAAATGTAGCTTCCATAGTGAACATCCTGGCCCCCAGGTAGCCCTTTCCTATTGGTACAGCTGTTAGCATTCCCCTGTGCAAGCTTCCAGCTTCCTTATTTATGTATGCAGCCCGATTTTTCAGGCTGCTCTTTGTTAGAACAATAAATGATATCCACCGCTGCTGCTTTTTGTTAGAAGGGAAGTTCTGCGGAGAACTCTTTTGCCCTCACCATTTACCTAAATAATTTCTTTCTGTCTCCTGTATCAGTTTCAAGCTTGGTTATTATTCGTATATTCTGTTCAATCTGCAAATGGTTTCTACATTGTTACTGGTGTCTTCTCAGGGTATTTTGACTTTTCAGCAATGGAAATGGTATGAGCGCTTTTCATCCAGAAAATATATATGTTTAAAGTAGTTAATACATATCTGGTTCACTTTCGTTTTCTGGACCAATCTGGTGTGCACAGTTGAGAGAATTGCTACAAGCCATTATTTTCTATGGATTTATTTAGGACTATAAATGCCTGAGAGCGTGGACCCCATAATCTGTATGTTTTAAACCACATATACTGTGACACCAGAAGCCTCATCCTCTCTAGTGTTTAGGCAACATATATATGCAATCTTATTGCACTGGGGAAAACAGGCTTCTTCGTAATTCAGTCACTGAGCCCAGCTCTGGCTCTAATTTTAATCAGCTCCTGAGCTGATTCTTCCCGCAGCCATGACTACACATCATCACTTTACTCTGGCAGCTATTATTAAGTCTCTAAGAGGTACAATATTAGGACATACAGGCGAGTTTTAAATATTGTCTTATTTTCAGTGAAAATTTTTTTTAGAATTTCAACTTTTATTTTAGATTCATCAGCTGCAAATAAAGACCCTGCACAAAGCCTTGGCCCACTGAAAATATCTAGAAGTCTATTGACTGTACTAAATCTACACTGCAGTTAAAGGAGCACAAAGACATAGAGCTGAGAAAGAATAATGCAAGAGCTCTGGTAACTGAAGTGGCCAGTGTGTCTTATGTCCTCCAAATGACCACACTAGCTCTCCAACAAGCGTTCTTAGCCAGGCTGAGTTGGCTGAAATAACAGAAATAGAATTCAGAATATGAATTGGAATGAAGATCATCGAGATTCAGGAGAATGGCAAAATTCAATCCAAGGAACTTACTAATCATAAGTTGATGCAGGAGCTGACAGATGAAATGTTTATATATATATACACACACACACATATATACACATATATATGTATATATATACACACACACACATATATATATACACACATACATTAATGGATTTCTCAGCTGAAAAACACACTGCAAGAATTTTACAATACAATTGCAAGTATTAATGGCACAAGAGACCAAGCTGAGGAAAGAATCTCAGAAATTGAAGGCTAGCTTTCTGAAATAAGACAGACAAAAATGAAGTAAAGAGAATGAATAAAATGAACAAAACCTCTGAGAAATATGGGGTTATGTAAAGAGGCCAAATCCATGAATTGTTGACATCCCCGAAAAGAACCAAGAGAGAGCAAACAACTTGGAAAACACACTTCACGATATCATCCATGAAAACTTCCCCAGCATTGCTACAGAGGCCAACAGTTATATTCAGTAAATACAGAGGATGCTACAAGATGCTACACAAGAATATCATTCACAAGACACATAAACATCAGATTTTCCAAGGTTGAAATGAAGGAAACAATGTTAAATACAGCCAGAGAGAAAGAGCAAGTCACCATTAGGCTAACAGTGGACCTTTCAGGAGAAACCCTATAAGCCAGAAGAGATTGCTTCCTTATATTCAACATTCTTAAATAAAAAATCTTCAACCAAGAGTTTTAAATTAAGCTGAACTTAGCTTCCTAAGCAAAAGAGAAATAAGATGCTTTTCAGTAAACAAATGTTGAGGGAATGTATTAACACCAGTCATGCTTTACAAGAGATCTTGAAAGGAGTACTAACTATAAGAAGGAAAGCCCATTACCAGTTAATAGAAAAACAGGCTTAAATACACAGACCAGTGACATTATAAAGCAACCACACAAACAATCCAGCATAATAACCAGCTAACAACATGATGACAGAATCAAGTCCACACATATCAATACTATCCTCGAATGTTAATATACTAAATGCCCCACTTAAAAGGCACAAAGTGGCAATCTAAATAAAAAAAGACACAATGGTATGCTATCTTCAAGAGACCCATCTCATATGTAATGATACCCATTTGCTGAAAATAAACGGATGATGGAAAATTTACCAAGCAGATGGAAATCAGAAAACAGCAGGGGTTGCAATTCTAATTTCAGACAAAATAGACCTTAAGCCAACAAAGATAAAAAAAAAAAAGAAAGAAAGAAAGAAACAAAGAAACAAAGAAAGAAAGAAAGAAAAAAGAAAGAAAGAAAGGAAATATATAATGGTAAAAGGTTCAATTAAAAAAAAAAAGAACTCACTACCTTAAATATATATTTACCCAACACAGGAGCATCCAGATTCAGAAAGCAAGTTCATAGAGACCTACAGAGAGACTTAGACTCCCACGCAATAATAGTGGGAGATTTCAACACTCCACTGACAATACTAGACAGATTGTTGAGGCAGATAATTAACAAAGATATTCAGGACCTGAATTCAACATTGGACCAAATGGATCTTACAGACCTCTACAGAAATCTCCACCAAAAAGTAACAGAATACACATTCTTCTCATGGCCACATGGCACATGCTCTAAAATCAACCACATAATAGAATATATAGCAATCCTGAATGAATACAAAATAACCAAAATCATATCAATCTCACTCTCACACCACAGCACAATAAAATAGAAATAAAGACTTAAAAATGCTCAAAACCATGCAATTACATGAAAATTAAACAACATGCTTTTTAATGGCTTCTGGGTAGATAATGAAATTAAAGCAGAAATCAAGAAGTTATTGTAAACTAACGAGAACAAAGATACAACATACCAGGATCTCTAGAGCATAGCTAAGACTGTGTTAAGATGGAAACTTATAACATTAAATACCAATATCAAAAAGTTAGAAAGGTCTCAAATAAACAGTCTAGCACCAAAACCAAACTAATTAGAAAAGCAAGAACAAACCAACCTCAAAGCTAGCAGAAAACAAGAAATAACCAAAATCAGAGCTAAACTGAAAAAAAAAATTGAGACACATTAAAAAAAAAAAGCATTTCAAAGATCCACAAATCCAGGAGTTGGGTTTTTTTTTTCCAAAAATAGGCTGCTAGCTAAACTAATAAAGAGGAAAAGAGAGAATATTCAAATAAACACAACTAGAAGTGATAAAGGGGATGTTACTACTGACACCAAATAAATAAAAATAACCATCAGAAACTACTATGAAAATCTCCATGCATACAAACTAAAAAACCTAGAAGAAATAGACAAATTTCTGGACAAATACATTCTCCAAAGACTGAAACAGAAAGAAAATGATTCCTCTGAACAGACAAATAATGAGCTTCAATATTGAATCAGTAATAAATAGCCTACCGACAACAAAAAAGCACAGGACCAGATGTATTCACAAATGAATTTTACCAGATGTACAAAGCATAGCTGGTACCATTTCTACTGAAATTATTTCAAAAGTTTGAGGAAAAGAGATACCTCCCCAACTCATTATATGACACCAGCGTCACCCTGATACAAAAACCTGGCAAAAACAAAATGAAAAAAATAATTCAGGCCAATATCTTTGATGAACATTGATGCAAAATTCTTTAATAAAATACTGACAAGCCAAATCCAGCAGCACAAGTGGGACTGATTCCCAGGATGCAAGTTTGGTCCAACATATGCAAATCAATAAGTATGATCATCACATAAACAGAAATAAAGACAAAAAATCACATAATTATCTTCATGGATGCAGAAAAGTATATTTATAAAATTTAAACCCATAGTCTTGGTCAAAAAGCTCCTTTAGCTGATAAACAACTTCAGCAAAGTTTCAGAAGACAAAATTGATGTGCAAAACTCAATAGTATTAACCCCCAAAACAATAAAACACCTATTAATACAGTTAACTAGGGAGATGAAATATCTCTACAATTACAAAATACTGCTCAGAGAAATCAGAGTTGACATAAGTAAATAGAAAAACATTCAATACTCATGGATAAGAAGAATCAATATAATTAAGATGGTTATACTGTCCAAAGCAATTTGCAGGTTCAGTGCTATTCATATCACACCACCAATGACATTTTGCACAGAACTAGAAAAGAACTATGTTAAAATTCTTATAAAACCAAAAAATAACTCAAATAGCCAAGGTAATTCTAAGCAAAAAGAACAAAGCTGGAGACATTATGTTTCTTAACTTAAAACTACACTACAGGGGGAGGGTCTAAGATGTCTGACTAGAAGCAGCTGCCATCATCAGCTCCCACAAAGAATGAAAATAGCAAGTGAATCCTGCATGTTCAGCTGAGGTATCGAGGTTCTTTCATTGAAACTGACTAGGCAGTAGGTCCAACCCACAGAGAGCAAGAAAAAGCAGAGTGGAGCAACAGCCCACCAGGGAGCCACATGGGGCAAGAGGAGCTCTCACCTGCAGCCAAGGGAGGTGGTGAGTAATTGTGTGACCCCGGCCAAGTAACCATGCTTTTTCCATGGATCTGTGTAACCTGCAGATAAAGAAATCTCCTCGTGAGCCCACAACACCAGGGCCTTGGGTATCAAGCACAGAGCTTTGCAGATGCAGCCAGTGTCAGCAAGCTGAATAGTGCTTAAGACTGCTGAGTTTCCAGGGGTAGGTGCAGCTGCCATCACTGTGGGTTCAGTTGGCTGCTTTCCCCTGCTGGTGCCAAAGAGACTGGGTGGTTTGGATTGGGAAGAGTTCCCCACAGCACAGGACAGTGACTGTGGCAGATCCTTGCCAGACTGCTTCCTTAGGTGGGACCCAGATCTATTCCTTTTTACTGGTTGGGCCTCCCTGTGGGAATTTCAGCAACTCCAGCCAGGGTTTTACAGGCAGAATTCTGATCTCTCAGGGACAAAGCCCCTGTGAGGAGGGGCAGCTGTGGTCTTCATGTTTCAGCAGACCTAGTCTTCCCTGCATGCTGGCTCTGAAGATTCCAGGCATTCTGGACAAAGGGGCCTCCCCACAGTGCAGTATGGCTGCTCCACTGAGAGACAGCCAGAGTGATTTATTAAGCAGGTCCCTGAACCCATGCCTCTTGACTGGGTGAGAACTCTCAACAGGGGTTTCCAGACACCTAATACAGGAGCATTCTAGGTGGTATCAAGTCGGTGCCCCTCTGGAACAGAGCTCCCAGAGGAAGGAGCAGACAGCCACCTTTGCTGTTCTGCAGCAATCACTGGTGACACCTCCAGGTAAAGGAGGGACTGAGGCAAATAAGGTCTGCAGTGGTCCCCCAGCAAACTGCAGCAGCCCAATTGAAGAGGGGCCTGACTGTTCAAAGAAAAACAAACAAAAAGAAAGAAACAACATCAACAACAAAAGACCCCACAAAAATCCCATCCAAAGGTCAGCAGCCTCAAAGATTGAAGGTAGATAAGCTCAAGAAGATGAAAAAGAATCAACACAAAATGCTGATAACTCATAAAGCCAGAGTGCCTCTTCTCTTGCAAATTATTGCAAAACCTCTCCAGCAAGGGCACAGAACAGGGCTGAGGCTGAGATGGATGAACTGACAGAATTAAGCTTCAGAAGGTGGATAATAACAAACTTCACTGAGCTAAAGGAATATGTTCTAACCCAATCCCAAGAAGCTAAGAACTATGATAAAACATTACAGGAGCTGTTAACCAGAATAACCAGTTTAGAGAGGAACTTAAATGACCTGATGAAGCTGAAAAATACAAGAATGTCACAATTAAACCACAGGTATTAATAGTCAAATAAACCAAGCAGAGAAAAGAATCTCAGGGCTTGAAGACTATCTTGCTGAAATAAGTCAGGCAGACCATATTAGAAAAAAAAGAATAAAAAGAAACAAACAAACCCTCTGAAAACTATGGGATTATATGAAAAGGCAGAACCTACGACTGATTGGAGTACCTGAAAGAGATGGGGAGACTGGAACCAAGTTGGAAAACACACTTCAGGGTATCTTCCAGGAGAACTTCAACAACCTAGCAAGACAGGCCAACATTCAAATTCAGAAAACGCAGAAAACTCCAGTAAGATATTCCAAGACAAGATGAACCCCAAGACACATAATTATCAGATCCTCCAATGTAATTAAGGAAAATGAAATAAATTAATAAAAATGAAATTAAGGAAAAAATGTTAAGGGCAGCCAGAGAGAAAGGGCAGGTCACCTACAAAGGGAAGCCAATCAGACTAACAGCAGATCTCTTAGCAGAAACCCTACAAGCCAGAAAAGAGTGGAGGCCAATATTTAACATTCCTAAAGAAAAGAATTTCCAACCCAGAATTTCATATTCAGCCAAACTAAGCTTCATTAAGTGAAGGAGAAATAAAATCCATTTCAGACAAGCAAATGCTGAGGGAATGCATCATTACAAGGCTTGCCTTCCAAGAGCTCCTGAAGGAAGCACTAAATATGGAAAGGAAAAAATAGTACCAGTCACTGCAAAAACACACTGAAGTACAAAGACCAATGACATTATGAAAAAACTGCATCAACTAGTGTGCAAAATAACCAGCTACCATCATTAAAACAGGACCAAATTCACACCTAACAATATTAACCTTAAATGTAAATGTGTTAAATGCCCCAATTAAGACATAGGCTGGCAAATTTGATAGAGTCAAGATACATTGGTGTGCTGTATTCAAGAGATGCATCTGACATGCAACGACACAAGTAGGCTCAAAATAAAGGGATGGAGGAAAATTTACCAAGCAAATGGAAAGCAGAAAAAAGCAGGAGTTGCAATCTTAGTTTCTGACAAAACAGACTTTAAACCAACAAAGATCAAAAAAGACAAAGAAAGGCATTACATAATCGTAAAGAGTTCAATTTAACAAGAAGAGCTAACTATCCTAAATATATATACACCCAATGCAGGAGCACCCAGTTTCATAAAACGAGTTCTTAGAGACTTACGAAGAGACTTAGACTCCCACACAATTATAGTGTGAGACTTTGACACCTGATGTCAATATTAGACAGATCATCGAGATAGAAATTTAACAAGGATATTCAGGACTTGAACTCAGATCTGGATCAAGTGGGCCTGATAAATATCTACAAAACTCTCTGCCCCAAAACAACAAAATATACATTCTTCTTGGTGCCACATAGCACTTACTCTAAAATTGATCACATAATTAAAAGTCAACCACTTAGCAAATACAGAAGAACTGAAATAACAGTATCTCAGATCACAGTACAATCAAATTAGAATTCAACATTAAGAAACTCAAAACTATAAAACTGCATAGAAATTGAACAACCTGCTACCGAATGACTCCTATGTAAATAATGAAATTAAGAAAGAAATCAAGAAGTTCTTTGAAAGTAATGAGAAAAAAGAGACAACGTACCAGAATCTCTGGGACACAGCTAAAGTAGTGTTAAAAGGAAAATTTATAGCAATAAACGCCAACATCAAAAAAGTACAAAGATCTCAAATCAACACCAATAACATCACAACTAAAGGAAATAGAAAACCAAGAGCAAAAGACGCCCCCAAAGCCCCAAAGATGGCAGAAGAAATAATCAAGATCAGAGTGGAACTGAAAGAGAAAGAAACACACACACACACACACACACACACACACACACACACACAAATCCTTCAAAAAATTAATGAATTCAGGAGCTGGGTTTTTTAAATAAAATAGTTTAATAAAGTAGATACACCACTAGCTAGACTAACGAAAAAGTAAAGAGAGAAAAATCAAATAGACACAATAAAAAAAAAAGAGACATCACCACTGACACCACAGAAATAAAAAAAAAGATAAGAGAATACAATAAACCCCTATATGCAAATTAACTAGAAAATACAGAAGAAATGAGTAAATTCCTGGAAACATACACCCTCCCAAGACTGAACCAAGAAGTTGAATCCCTGACTACAACAATAACACATCCTAAAATTGAGGCAGTAATAAATAGCCTGCCAACCAAAAAAGCCAGAAGCAGATGGATTTACAGCTGAATTCTACCACAGGTACAAAGGCTGTACTGGTACTATTTCTTCTGAAACTATTCCATACAATTGAAAAGGAGGCACTCCTCCGTAAGTCATTTTATGAGGCTAGCATCATTCTCATAACAACACTTGGCACACATACAACAAAAAAAAGAAAACTTCAGGCCAATATCCCTGAGAAACATTGATGCAAAAATCCTCAATAAAATACTGGCAAACCGAATCCAGCAACACATCAAAAAGCTAATCCACCATGATGACGTCGGCTGTATCTCCAGGATGCAAGGCTAGTTCATCATAGGCAAATCAATAACTGTAATTTATCACATAAACAAAACTAAAGACAAAAAAAGATAATCTCAATAGATGCAGAAAAGGTCTTTGCTAAAATTTAACATCCCTTCATGTTAAAAACTTCCAATAAACTGGGTATTGAAGGAACATACATCAAAATAATAAGAGCAATTTATGACAAATCTACAGGTAACATCACACTGAATGAGCAAAAGCTACAAACATTCCCCTTGAAAACCAGCACAAGACAAGGATGCCCTCTCTCACTCTCAGCAGTCTGATTAAACATAGTATTAAATGTTCTGGCCAGGACAATAAGCCAAGAGAAAGAAATACACTGTATTCAAGTAGGAAGAGAGGAAGTCGAATTATCTCTGTTTGCAGATGACATGATCCTATATCTAGAAAACCCCATAGTCTCAGCCCAAAAGCTTCTTAAGCTGATACACAACTTCAGCAAAGTCTCAGGATACAAAGTCCATGTGCAAAAATCACAAGCATTCATATACACCAACAACAGACAAGCAGAGAGCACAGTCATGAATGAACTCCCATTCACAATTGATACAAATTGAATAAAATACCTAGGAATACAGCTAACAAGGGATGTAAAGGAACTCTTCAAGAAGAACTACAAACCACTGCTCAAGGAAATCAGAGAGGACACAGATAAATGGAAGAACATTCCATGCTCATGGATAGGAAGAATCAATATCGTGAAAATGGACATACTGCTCAAAGTAATTTATAGATTCAATGCTATCCCCATCAAGCTACCATTGACTTTCTTCACAGAATTAGAAAAAAAACTATTTTATAACTCATATAACCCAAAAAGAGCACATATAGCCAATACAATCCTAAGCAAAACAACAAAGCTGTAGGCATCATGCTACCTAACTTCAAACTACACTACAAGGCTACAGTAACCAAAACAGCATATGACTGGTACAAAAACTGACACATAAACCAATGGAACAGAATTGAAAACTCAGAAATGGGACCACACATATAAAAACATTTGATCTTTGACAAACCTGACAAAAACAAGCAATGGTGAAATGATTTCCTATTTAATAAATGGTGCTGGGAGCACTGGCTAGAAATATGCAGAAAATTGAAACTGGACCCCTTCCTTACACCTTATACAAAAATTAACTCAAGATGGGTTGAAGAATTAAATGTAAAACCTAAAACTATAAAAACCCTAGAGGGAAATATAGGCAATGCCATTCAGGATATGGGCACAGGCAGAGATTTTACGACGAAAACGTCAAAAGCATCTGCAACAAAAGCAAAAAATGACAAATGAAATCTAATTAAAGAGCTTCAGCACATCAAAAGAAACTACCATTGGATGCAAACAGAAACTATCTTTAGATGCAAACAACCTAGAGAATGGGAAAAAATTATAATCTATCTATCTGACAAAAGTCTAATATCCAGAACTTAAAGGAACTTAAAGAAATTTACAAGAAAAAAACAAACAACCCCATCAAAAAGTGAGCAAAGGACATGAACAGACACTTTTCTGAAAAGAAGACATTTATGTGGCCAAGAAACATATGAAAAAAAAAAGCTCAACATCACTGATCATTAGAGAAATGCAAATCAAAACCATAATGAGATACCATCACAATCACTCGCCAGTCAGAATGGTGATTATTAAAAAGTCAAGAAACAACAGATGCTGGCGAGACTGCAGATAAATAGGAACACTTTTACACTGTTGGTGGTAATGTAAATTAGTTCAACCATTGTGGAAGACAGGGTGGTGATTCCTGAAAGTCCTAGAACTAGAAACACCATTTGATCCAGCAATTCTCTTACTGGTTATATACCCTAAGGAATATAAATCATTGTATTATAAAGATACATGAACATGTATGTTCATTACAGCACCCTTCACAATAGCAACAAAAAATGGAATCAAACCAAATGCCCATCAATAATAGACTGGATAAAGAAAATGTGGTACATATACACCATGGAATATTATGCAATCATAAAATGAATGAGATCATGTCCTTTGCAGGGACATGGATGGAGCTGAAAGCCATTATTCTCAGCAAACTAATGCAGGAACAGTAAATCAAACACCGCATGTTCCCACTTACAAGTAGGAGCTGAACAATGTGAAGCCATAGACACAGGGAGGAAAGCAATGCACACTGGGGCCTGTTGGGGGTGTGGAGAGAGTGAGAGTATCAGGAAAAAGAGAGAATGTATGCTGGGCTTAATACCTAGGTGATGGGTTGATAGATGCATCAAATCACCATAGCACATGTTTACCTATGTAACCTGTACATCCTGCACATGTATCCTGAAACTCAAAATAAAATAAAATAATACACTACAGGGCTAACTTAACCAAAACAACATGGTACTGATACAGAAACATAAACATAGAAAAATGGAACAGAAAGGATAGCCCAGGAATAAGACTGCACACCTACAACCATCTCATCTTTGACAAAGCTGACAAAAAGAAGCAATGGGGAAAGGATTCACTATTCAACAAATGGTACTGGGATAACTGGTTACCCATATGCAGAAGATTTAAACTGGACCCTTTCCTTACACCACATACAAAAATCAACTCAAGATGGATTAAAAACTTAAATGTAATATTCAAAACTATAAAAGCTCTGGAAGAAAACCTAGGCAATACCATTCTAAACATGGGCCCAGGCAAAGATTTTATGACAGACTTTAAAAACAATTGCAACAAAAGCAAAAATTGACAAATAGAATCTAATTAAACTTAAGAGCTTCTGCACAGCAAAATAAACTATCAGAAGAATAAACAGACAACCTACAGAATGGAAGAAAATATTCACAAACTATGCATCTGAAAAAATGTCTAAAATCTCGATTCTATAAAGAACTTAAATAAATTTACAAGAAAAAAACCCTTTAAAAAGTAAGCAGAGGAGATGAACAGACACTTTTCAAAAGGAGATCTACAGGCAGTCAACAAGTATATTAAAACGCTCAATATCAATATCACTGATTATTATTAGAGAAATGCAAATTTCTCTAAAACCACTATGAGATTCCATCTCACACCAATAAGAATGGTAATTATTAAAAAGCCAAAAATAACAGATTCTGGTTACGTTGTGGAGAAAAGGAACGCTTATACACTGTTGGTTGGATTGTAAATTAGCTCAGCCATTGTGGAAAGCAGTGTGATGATTCCTCAAGAGCCAAAAACAGAACTACCATTCAATCTAGCAACCCCATTACTGGGTACATACCTAGAGGAATATAAATTATTCTACTGTAAAGACACATGGATGAGATTGTTCACTGCAACACTATTCAGAATTTCAATAATGTGGAATCAACCTACGTGCCCACAAATGACAGACTGGATAAAGGAAATATGGTACATAGACACCATGGAATACTATGCAGTCATAAAAAGAATGAGATCATGTCTTTTGTGGGAACATGGATGGAGCTGGAGGCCATTATCCTTAGCAAACTAACACTGGAACAGAAAACCAAATACCATAAGTTCTCACTTAGAAGTGACAGCTAATGATGAAAACTCATGGATACAAAGAAGGAAACAACAGAAACTGAGGCCTACATGAGGGAGGAGGGTAAGAAAAGGGAGAGGAGCAGGAAAAAATACCTACCGGGTACTAGAATTAGCACCTAGGCAATAAAATAATGCGTACACCAAACCCCCTTGACACAAGTTTACCTACATGAAAAACATTTACGTGTACTCCTGAACCTAAAATAAGAGTAAAAAACTTCCAAATTGGAAAATAAAAAGTTAATTTATTTCTATTTTCAGATGAAATTTTTTTCGGTAGAGAAAATCCCAAAGAACACACAGTAAAGTTACTAGAGCTAATAAATGAGTACAGCAAAGTTGCAGAATACAAGGTCAATAAACTAAAATCAATTGTGTTTTTAGAATACCGCAATGAACAATCTGAAAATAAAATTTTAAATTCCATTTACAATTATCTATTATAATAGAATAATCCTTACTTACGATTTTTACCAAGTAGATAAAAGATGTATACACTGAAAACTAGAAAACCTTGCTAAAATAAATTTCAAAAGGCTTAAATAAAGGGAAAGGCATCCTGTAAACATGGATAGGGAGATGTAATATTTTCTATATGCCAACACTACTCAAAGTGACCTACAGATTCAATGCAATCCCTATAAAAAATTCCTACTTTTTTTCAGAAATGGAAAAGCTGATCATCAAACTCATATGGAATTACAAAAGGCTCAAATAGACAAAAACAATCTTGAAAAAGAAGAACAAAGGCAGAAGTCACACTATTCCACATTTCAAAATTTAATATAAATACCTACAGTAATCAAAACAGTGATTACAGGCATGAGGATAGTAATATAAACAAATATAATAAAATTGAGAATACAGAAATAAACCAGTACCTCAATGTGCAAATGAATTTTTAACTGAATGACAAGTGCATTTGATAAGAAAACAATAGTCTTTTCAACAAATGATGCTGGCATAACTATATTTTATACACAAAAGAATGATGTACTTCGACCTCACACAGCATAAAAAACTGAAAATGGATAAATTCAGAACCTACAAGGAACTTAAACAAATTTACAAGAAAAAAACAAACAACCCCGTCAAAAATCTGGTGAAGGATATGAACAGACACTTCTCAAAAGAAGACATTTATGCAGCCAACAAACATATGAAAAAGAGCTCATCATCACTGGTCATTAGAGAAATACAAATCAAAACCACAATGAGATACCATCTCATGCTAGTTAGAATGGTGATCATTAAAAAGTCAGGAAACAACAGATGATGGAGAGGATGTGGAGAAATAGGAACACTTTTACACTGTTGGTGGGAGTGTAAATTAGTTCAACCATTGTGGAAGACAGTGTGGCAATTCCTCAAGGATCTAGAACCAGAAATACCACTTGACCCAGCAATCCCATTACTGGGTATATAACCAAAGGATTATAAATCATTCTACTATAAAGACACATGCACACGTATGTTTATTGCAGCACTATTCACAATAGCAAAGACTTGGAACCAACCCAAATGTCCATCAATGATAGACTGGATAATGAAAATGTGGCACATATACACCATGGAATACTATGCAGCAATAAAAAAAGATGAGTTCATGTCCTTTTCAGTGACATAGATGAAGCTGGAAACCATCATTCTCAGCAAACTAATGCAGGAACAGAAAACCAAACACCACATGTTCTCAACTCATGAGTGGGAGTTGAACAATGCGAACACATGGACACAAGGAGGGGAACATCACACACCAGCGTTTGTCAGGGGGTGGGGGCTAGGGGAGGGATAACATTAGGAGAAATACCTAATGTAGATGACGGGTTGATGGGTGCAGCAAGCCACCATGGAACGTTTATACCTATGTAACAAACCTGCAGGTTCTGCACATGCATACCAGAACTTAAAGTATAATTTTAAAAATGGGTAATTTACCTAAATATGAGTTAAAAACAAAAATTTTAGAAAAAAAAACAATAGGGGTAAATATATATGACCTTGCATTTAGCAATAGATTTTTTTAATTTTTAAATTTTTGTGAATACATAGTAGGTATTCATATATTTAAAAGATACATGAGATGTTTTTATCCAGTCATGTAATATTTAATAATAACACTACTGAAAATGGGATATTCATCACTTCAGCACTGATCCTTTGTGTTACAAACAATCCAATTATACTCTTTTAGTTGTCTTAAAATTTACAATTAAATTATTATTGACCATAGTCACTCCGTTGCACTATTAAATATGAGGTATTCCTCATTTGTTCCTATTAACCACCTCCAACTCACTCCCACATCCCCACTACCCTTCACAGCATCTAGTAACAATTCTTCTACTTTCCATATCTATGAGTTCAATTTTTAAATTTTCACATCTCACAGATAAGTGGGAAACATGAAATGTTTGTCTTTATCAGTCTGACTTATTTTACTTAACATAATGACTTCCAATTTTATCCATGTTGTTGAAAAAGACAGGATCTCAATTTTTTATGCCTGAATAGTACACCATTGTGTATAGATACCACACGTTCTTTATCCATTCATCTGCTGATGGACGCTTAGGTTGCTTCCAATTTTTGGCTATTGTGAATAGCGCTGCCACAAACAGGAGTACAGCTATCTCTTTGATATATTGATTTCCTTTTTTTTCCCTTTAGTATATACCCTGCAGTGGCATTGCTGGATTGTATGGTAGCTCTACTTTTAGTTATTTGAGGAACCTGCAAACTGTTCTTCATAGTGGTTGTACTAATTTACATTCCCACCAACAGTGTGCAAGGGTTCCCTTTTCTCTACATCCTTGCCAACATTTGTTATTGCCTGTCATTTAGATATAAGCCATTTTAACTGGGATGAGATGATATCTCATTGTAATTTTGATTTGTATTACTCTGATGATCAATGATGCTGAGCACCATTACATATGCCTGTTTTCCATTTGTATGTCCTCTTTTGAGAAATATCTATTAAAGTCTTTTGCCCATTTTATAATCAAAGTTTTCCATTTTTTCCTATACAGTTGTTTGAGCTTTTTATACATTCTGTTTATTAATCCCTTCTCAGATAGATAGTTTGCAAATATCTTCTTCCATTCTGTATGTTGTCTCTTATCTTTATTGTTTCCTTTGCTGTGCAGAATCTTTTTACCTTGATGTGATTTCAGTTGACCATTTTCACTTTGCCTGTGCTTGTGGGGTATTACTCAAGAAATTTTTACCCAGACCAATGTCCTAGAGAGTTTACCCAAAATAGTCTAATAGCAGTTTCATAGTTTGAGGTGTTAGATTTAATTATTTAATTGACTTTGATTTGACTTTTATATATGACTATAGATAGGGGTCAATATTCTTTCTGCTTCATATGAATATCCAGTTTTTTTCACCACCATTTATTGAAGAAATTATCTTTTACCTAGTGTATGTTCTTAGAACTTTTGTCAAAAATAAATTTACTGTAGGTGTGTGTATTTATTTCTGGATCCTCTATTCTGTTTCATTGTCTATGTGTATGTTTTTATGTCAGTACCATGCTGTTTTGGTTACTATAGCTCTATAGTATAATGTAAAGTCAGGTAATATGTTATTTTTGCTTAGGATAACTATGGCTGTTTTTGGATCTTTTGTTGTTCCATATAAATTTTAGATTTTTTTTTTTATTTCTGTGAAAGAACGTCATTGGTATCTTTGTAGAGATTGCATTGAATCTTTAGATTGCTTTGGGTAGTATGGATATTTAACAATATTGACTTTTCCAACCCATAAACATAGAATATTGTTCCACTTTGTGGTGTCCCCTTCAATTTCTTTTATCAATGTTTTGTAACTTTTCATTGTAGAGATCTTTCACTTACTTGGTTAAGTTAATTTTTAGGTATTTAATTTTATTTGTGGCTATTTTAAAATGGATTATTTTTAATTTCTTTTTCGGATTCTTCACTGTTGGTATGTAGAAATGCTACTGATTGGTGTATGTTTACTTGGTATACTGAAACTTTATCAAATTTGTTTAACAGTTCTAATAGTTTTTGGTAATGTCTTTAGGTTTTTCCAAATATCCAAATATACTATTATATTGTCTTCAAGCAAAGATAATTTTACCTCTTTTGTTCCAATTTGAGTCCCACTTTTATCTTTCACTTGTTTGATTGCTCCATCTAGGGCTCCCAGTAATATGTTGAATAATATTGGTGAAAGTAGGCATTCTTGTTGTGTTCCAAACCTTAGACAAATTTCTTTCAGTATCTCTGAATGCAATATGATACTGGCTGTGAGTTTGTCTTCTATGGCTTGTACTATGTTGAATGTGTTCCTGCTATACCTAGTTTCTTGAGGATCTTTATCATGAAGGGATGTTGAATTTTATCAAATGATGTTTCAGCATCAATTGAAATGATCACATGAATTTTATCCTTCATTTAGTTGATATGATGTATCACATTGATTAATTTGCATATGTTGAACCATCCTTTCATTCTAGAGATGAATTCCACTTGGTCATGATGAAAAATCTTTTTACTGTATTGTTAAATTCCATTTGATAGTGTTTTGTTCAGAATTTTTGCATCAAAATTCATCAGAGATATTGGCTGGTTGTTTTCTTTATTTGACGTGTCTTTGTCTAGTTTCAGTATCAGGGTACCACTGGCTTTGTAGAATGAGTTTGTAATATAGTCTTCTCCTCTTTTCAGAATAGTCTGGGAAGGACTGGTATTATTATTTCTTAAATGTTTGGTAGCATTCAGCAGTGAAGTCGTCAGGTCCCAGGCTTTTCTTTACTGGAAAACTTTTTATTATGGCTTTGAATCCATTACTTGTTATTAGTCTGTTCAGGTTTTGGATTTCTTGCTGGTTCAATATTGGTGGGTTGTGTTTGTCTAGAAACTTGTCCATTTCTTATAGATTTTCCAATTTATTGGCATATAGTTGTTCATAGCACCCACTAATAATTCTTTCATTTTCTAAAGTATCAGTTGCAATGTTATCTTTTTCATCTCTGATTGTTTTTTATTTGGGTCTTTTCTCCTTTTTATAGCTAAAGGTGTGTTTATTTTGTTTAACTTTTCAAACAATCAAGTTTTTGTTTTATTGAGCTATTTTATTGTATCATCATTTCATTTTCATTTATTTTGTCTCTGATCTTTACTATTTCTTTCTTTTAGTAATTTAGAGTTTGGTTAACTCTTTTTTATTTCTTTAAAATCCATCATTTTTTTATTTGAAGTTTTTTTTATGTAGGTACTCATAGCTATAAACTTCCCTCTGACTACTGCTTTTGCTGTATTTCACAGGTTTTGACATGTTGTGTTTTCATCATTATTTGTTGTGAGAATTTTTTAAATTTCCTTCTTAATTTTTTTGATGCCCTGGTCATTCAGGAGCATATTTTTTTTTATTATTATACTTTAAGTTTTAGGGTACATGTGCACATTGTGCAGGTTAGTTACATATGTGTATACATGTGCCATGCTGGCACGCTGCACCCACTAACTCGTCATCTAGCTTTAGGTACATCTCGAATGCTATCCCTCCCCCCTCCCCCCACCCCACAACAGTCCCCAGAGTGTGATGTTCCCCTTCCTGTGTCCATGTGATATCATTGTTCAATTCCCACCTATGAGTGAGAATATGCGGTGTTTGGTTTTTTGTTCTTGTGATAGTTTACTGAGAATGATGATTTCCAACTTCATCCATGTCCCTACAAAGGACATGAACTCATCATTTTTTATGGCTGCATAGTATTCCATGGTGTATATGTGCCACATTTTCTTAATCCAGTCTATCCTTGTTGGACATTTGGGTTGGTTCCAAGTCTTTGCTATTGTGAATAATGCCGCAATAAACATACGTGTGCATGTGTCTTTATAGCAGCATGATTTATAGTCCTTTGGGTATATACCCAGTAATGGGATGGCTGGGTCAAATGGTATTTCTAGTTCTAGATCCCTGAGGAATCGCCACACTGACTTCCACAATGGTTGAACTAGTTTACAGTCCCACCAACAGTGTAAAAGTGTTCCTATTTCTCCACATCCTCTCCAACACCTGTTGTTTCCTGACTTTTTAATGATTGCCATTCTAACTGGTGTGAGATGGTATCTCATTGTGGTTTTGATTTGCATTTCTCTGATGGCCAGTGATGGTGAGCATTTTTTCATGTGTTTTTTGGCTGCATAAATGTCTTCTTTTGAGAAGTGTCTGTTCATGTCCTTTGCCCACTTTTTGATGGGGTTGTTTGTTTTCTTCTTGTAAATTTGTTTGAGTTCATTGTAGATTCTGGATATTAGCCCTTTGTCAGATGAGTAGGTTGCAAAAATTTTCTCCTATTTTGTAGGTTGCCTGTTCACTCTGATGGTAGTTTCTTTTGCTGTGCAGAAGCTCTTGAGTTTAATTAGATCCCATTTGTCAATTTTGGCTTTTGTTGCCATTGCTTTTGGTGTTTTAGACATGAAGTCCTTGCCCATGCCTATGTCCTGAATGGTAAAGCCTAGGTGCTCTTCTAGGGTTTTTATGGTTTTAGGTCTGACGTTTAAGTCTTTAATCCATCTTGAATTCATTTTTGTGTAAGGTATAAGGAAAGGATCCAGTTTCAACTTTCTACATATGGCTAGCCAGTTTTCCCAGCACCATTTATTAGATAGGGAATCCTTTCCCCATTGCTTGTTATTCTCAGGTTTGTCAAAGATCAGATAGTTGTAGATATGTGGCATTATTTCTGAGGGCTCTGTTCTGTTCCATTGATCTATATCTCTGTTTTGGTACCAGTACCATGCTGTTTTGGTTACTATAGCCTTGTAGTATAGTTTGAAGTCAGGTAGTGTGATGCCTCCAGCTTTGTTCTTTTGGCTTAGGATTGACTTGGCGATGCAGGCTCTTTTTTGGTTCCATATGAACTTTAAAGTAGTTTTTTCCAATTCTGTGAAGAAAGTCATTGGTAGCTTGATGGGGATGGCATTGAATCTGTAAATTACCTTGGGCAGTATGACCATTTTCATGATATTGATTCTTCCTACCCATGAGCATGGAATGTCCTTCCATTTCTTTGTATCCTCTTTTATTTCATTGAGCAGTGGTTTGTAGTTCTCCTTGAAGAGGTCCTTCACATCCCTTGTAAGTTGGATTCCTAGGTATTTTATTCTCTTTGAAGCAATTGTGAATGGGAGTTCACTCATGATTTGGCTCTCTGTTTGTCTGCTGTTGGTGTATAAGAATGCTTGTGATTTTTGTACATTGATTTTGTATCCTGAGACTTTGCTGAAGTTGCTTATCAGCTTAAGGAGATTTTGGGCTGAGACAATGGGGTTTTCTAGATATACAATCATATCGTCTGCAAACAGGGACAATTTGACTTCCTCTTTTCCTAATTGAATACCCTTTATTTCCTTCTAAGGGGCATTTTTTTTTACCTTACACATGTCTGCATACTTTCCAAAATTCCTCCCTCATTATTGGTTTCTAGTTTTATTTCATTGTGGTCAGAAAAAATGCTTGATATTATTCTAAAGGATATGCTAAATATTTAAAATATTTTAGACTTGCTTTGTATCCTAATATATGGTCTGTCTTTGTGAATTATCCAAATGCTGAGGTAAAGAATGTGTATTCTTCAGTTGTTGGATAAAATATTGTGTAAATATCTATTACATGCATTTGGTCTAGAGTGCAGATTAAGTTTATTGTTTCTTTATTGATTTTCTGTCAGGAATATTTGTCCAATGCTGAAAGTGGGGTTTTGAAGTCTCCTGCTGTAACTGTATTGAGGTTGGTATCTGATTTTAGTGCTAAAAATGTTTGCTCTTTATATCTGGGTGCTCCAGTGTTGGGTGGATATATATTTATAGTTGTTGCATCCTCTTGCTGAATTGACCCCTTTGTTAGGTCTTGATATTTGTGAGCTTGATTGTTAAATGCCTTGGGGGCAGTCTTCTTTGAATTATATCTGTTTTGTGTTCTATAACCCCCTTGTACTTGGATATTGATATACTCCTCTAGGTTTGGGAACTTTTTTGTTATTATCCCTTTCTATAAACTTTCCACCTCAACTCTTCCTCTACCTCATCTTTAAGGCCAAAACCACTTTTTAATAGGGTTATTTGTTTTTGTTTGTGGAAATTTTTAAGTTCTTTATAGATTCTGGATATTAGATCTTTGTCAGATGAATAGTTTGTGAATATTTTTTCACATTCTATAGGTGGTCTCTTTTCTCTTTTGATAGTTCCTCTTTCTGTGAAGAAACTCCTTAGTATAATTAGGTCCCACTTCTCAATTTTCGTTCTTGTTGCAATTACTTTTGAGGACTCAGCCAAAAATTATTTGCCAAGGCAAGTATCAAGAAGGATATTTTCTACATTGTCTTCTAGAATTTCTATAATTTGAAGCCTAATATTTATGTGTCTAATTTATTGTAACTTATTTTTTGCATATGATGAAAGGTAGAGGTCGAGTTTTATTATTCTACATATGCCTAGCCAGTTATCCCTGAACCATTTATTGAATAAAAATTTTTTTCTCCACTGTTTATTTTTGACAATTTCATTGAAGATCAGATGGTTGTAGGTGTGCAGCTTTATGTCTGGGTCCTGTATTTTGCTTCCTCGGTCTACATGTTTGTTTCTGTACCACTACTATGCTGTTTTGGTTACAGTAGCTTTGTAGTGTAGTTTGAAGTCAGGTAATGTGATTCCTCTGGCTTTGTTCTTTTTACATAGAATTGTTTTGGCTATTTGGACTATTTGTTGGTTCCATATGAATTTTAGAATAGTTTTTTAAAACTCTGTGAAACTTGATATTGGTAGTTTGATAGGAATAGGGTTGAATATGTAGATTCCTTTGTGCAGTATGTCCCTTTTAGCCATATTGATTCTTCTTATCCATGAACATAAAATATTCTTCCATTTGTTTGTGTCATCTCTGATCTGTTTCAGCAGTGTTTTGTAATTCTTATTGTAGAGATCTTTAACCTGCCTTTATTTCTGTATTCCTAGGCATTTTCTTGTTTTTGTGGCTGTTGTAAATGGTACTGTGTTCTTAATTTGGCTCTCAGCTTGAATACTACTGGTGTATAGAAATGCTACCCTTTTAACATTGGTTTTGTATCATTTAATCTTTACTGTAGTTGTTTGTCAGTTCTAGGAGCCTTTTGCCAGGGTCTTTTGGGTTTTTTGTGTATAGAATTTTATTATCAGTAAAGACAGATACTTTGATTTTTTCTTTTTCTATTTGGATGTATTTTAATTCTCTTGCCCGTTATCTCTGGCTTGGATTTCCATTACTATGTAGAATACAAGTTGTGAGAGTGAGCATCTTTGTCTTGTTCTAGTTCTAAAGGGGAAGGCTTTCAGCTGTTGCCCATTCAGTATGATTTTGGCTACAGGTTTCTCATAGATGATCTTATTATTTTGAGGTATGTTCTTTCAGTGACTATTTTGCATGAGAAGATGTTAAATTGTATGGACCTTCTTCTGCATCTATTAAGATGGTCATATGGTTTTTGTCGTTCTACCAAAAAGTCATATGCACCAATATATTCATTATAGCTCTATTCACAATACCAAACACATGGAATCAACCCAGGTGCCCATCAACTCTGGACTGGATAAATACAATGTGGTACCTGTACACCATGGACTACTATGCAATCATATAAAAGAATGAAATGATATTTTCTGCAACAACATGGGTGCCACTGGCAGGCATAATCATAAGCAAATTAATACAAGAGCAAAAACCCAAATACTACATATCCTCACTTATAAGTCAGAGCTAAACATCGAGTATACATGGACATAAAGATGAGAATAATACACAATGGGGAATACAGGAGGGTGAGATAAAAGGGAAAAGGCTGAAAAACTACCTATTGGGAACTATGCTCACTACCTGGAAGAGAGACTCATTTGTACCTCAAAACTCAGCACTATGCTATACACCTTTGTATCAAAGTTGCATGCACTTGTAACCCCTGAACGTATAATAAAAGCTGAATTAAACCCTAATTGAACACTGAGTTCTGTAAATAGGAAAAAAGTAACTTGATTTAAAAAGAAAAAATAAAGTAATAATTAAAATGGCAATTTCCAAAAAGATGAATAGCATTATGAACTGGAAAAGAAAACACCACCATTGGATATCAAAGTAAAACACCTTAATGCAAATAATAAATAAACCATCTTAAAATATGTCAGAAATTTTACTATTCGAGAGTACTGAAAAAAATCACCAGTCTAAAGTTCCATACTCAGAAAAGGTTATAAATCACAACTTAATGTTATAAACAACTTAGGTTTATGAACATCTTTGACAAAAAAATCTAACAGACTATCAGACCAGAAAAAAATACTAATTTGAGTTATTTATGCAGAAAGATGTTGATCCTTGATGAGAGAAGCACAGAGATGTAAGAAACAACAGGAATGGAGGGGATAAATATGTGGTAAAATCTCAAAAAATCAAATGTAAAAAAAAAAACAAAAATAAATAGGTGGGATATAATTAAACTAAAAAGCTTCTGCACAACAAAAGAATTAGTCAGCGAACAGATAAACCACAGAATGGAAGAAAATATTCACAAAATAAACATCTGACAAAGGACTAATATCCAGAATATACAAAAACTCATACAAATCAGTTAGAAAAGAAACAAATAATCTTATCAAAATGTGGGCAAATGGCATGAATATACAATTCTCAAAAGAAGATGTTCAAATGTCCAACAAACATAAAAATATGCTCAGCATCACTAATCATCAGGGAAATGCAAATAAAAACCAGCATGTGACACCACCCTAATCCTGCAAGAATGGCCATAATTTAAAGATAAAAAAATATTTTGTCATGGATGTGATGAAAAGGGAACACTTTTACATTGCTGGGGGGATGCAAACTAGTGCAACCATTATGGAAAACAGTATGGAGATTTCTTAAAGAACTAAAAGTAGAACGACAGTTTGATTCAGCAATCCCACTACTGGGTATCTACCCAGAGAAAAAGAAGTCATTTTACGAAAAAGACACTTGTACACACATGTTTATAGCAGCGCAATTTGCAATTGCAAAAACATAGAACCAGCCTAAATGTCCATCAACCAATGAGTGGACAAACAAAATATGATATATACACACTATGGGATACTACTCAGCCATAAAAAATAATGAAATTTGCAGCAACCTGGATGGAATTGGAGACCATTCTTCTAAGTGAAGTAACTGAGGAATGGAAAGCCAAATATCATATGATCTCACTGTTAAGTGGAAGCTAACAGGATGCAACGGCATAAGAATGATATAATGGACTTTGGGGACTTGTGGGGAATGGTGAGAGTAGGGTGAAAAATAAGAGACTACACATTGGGTACAGCATACACTGCTCAGGTGATGGGTGCACAAAAATCCCAGATATCACTACTAAGGAACTTATCCATTTAACCAAAAACCACCTGTTCCCCAAAAATTATTGAAATAAAATATAATTAAATTTTAAAAATCCAATGACTAAAAAACAGAGAACCAAACACATGGCACAGTACCATAACAGAGAAGACGGGGATGAATAGAATTGAAATGTTTTACACATCTTTGCATTTTGAAAATCAAAGTCACCTGTTTTAATATCTAGGGTATAACTCCTAGAACACTAGTAAAATGACTTGTAATTAAAAAGATAACAGAGGGAGAAAAATGGAATAATAAAAATGCTTAATCTGAAAGAAGGCAACAAAGGAAAAGAAGATAAATGTATATAGTATGTGGAGCAAATAGAAAGCTAATGGTAATATGGTATGTATAATCCCCAATATATTAGTAACTACATTAAATATAAATACACTAAAACTTTAATTAGAACACAAAAATAGGTAGGATTTTTAAGTAACTTTTTTTGTGGATTACAAGATACGTAGCTTAAATACAGGGCTACCAAAGGATTGGAAGCAAAGGGATGAAAGAAGATATGCCATACAAGTAGAATTTTTCAAACTTGGTGTAATTATACATATATATATATATACACACACACATATATATGATGTATATTTTAAAGCAAGAAACATTATAATAAGACAGTAAGAAGAAATCACCATGAGAATCTGAAAATATTTCATTCTGAATGATAAAAATATGACGTAGTAAACATGTCAGGCAGTTTTATTTGTACATAGAGGGGATTCATAGCTATTAATGTATTCACTGGAAAAGAAGAGTTGAAAATTAATGATCTAAGCAATCAACTCAATATGTTTGTATGATAATAAGAACTAAATCCAAATTAAATGCAGCAAGAAAAACATAATTAAGATTAATTCAGAAATTAATGAAATATAAAGTAATGTAATAGAAAACTATGAAGAGGATTAAAAAGACAAATTTTATTTTTTAAAAAAGTAATAATAGTAGCCGGGCATGGTGGCTCACAACTACAATCCCAGCACTTTGGGAGGCTGAGGCGGGTAGATCACCTGAGGTCAGGAGTTTGAGACCAGCCTGGCCAACATGGTAAAACTCCGTCTCTGCTAAAAATACAAAAATTAGCCTGGCATGGTGGTGGGTGCCTATAATTCCAGCTACTCAGGAGGCTGAAGCAGGAGAATCACTTGAACCTGGGAGGCAGAGGTTGCAGTAAGCCGGGATCACGCTATTGCTCTCCAGCCTTGGTGACAAGAGTGAAACTCCATCTCCAAAAAATAATAATAATAATAATACTAGTACTAATGCTAAACACTGACTAAATTTTTTCAACAGAGAAAACACACAAATACATTGTCAAAAATGAAAAGGAAGACACTGCTAGAGATCTTGCATTCATAAAGTTGTTCATAATATTCTTTTATCCCTTTTATGCCAAAAATTGGCAATGTACATGAAATAAAAAACTTCCAAAAAAATTATGAAAATTGGCATACACAATAAAAGAAAATTTGAATTGGCATGTGTATTAATGTCTTCCTCCTTGAGTGTCCTGTCTGCACCAATAAACATTGACATCACCTGAGATCTTGTTAGAAGGGCAGATGCTTAGGTCCCACACCAATCTACTAAATCAGTATCTAAATTTTAACAAGCATAAAAACACTTCTCTAAGAGCTCCTACTTTAGAGAGCATGACTGACAATCAGCCCCAGTTGCTACACACCGAAAGCAATCACCCTTTAAAAGTTGAGGTCATGTTTCTCAGGAGCTTCTCCCAGCCAATGACTCAAAATAACAGTGTTATACTAATGCAAGTCCATTAGTAACACTGTTGATCTATATACACATCAATCTTAAGGAAATACTATATTAAATAAATCTAATTCATTAATTATATATCCCCACAGAAAGATACATTTGCCAAGATAACTTTATTTATGAATCATTTAAAACACTGAAGAAATAGATAGTGCTAACCCTCTACAAACTCTGCCAGATCATAGAAAATGGGAGAGCACTTTCCAGCTAATATTATGAAACCAGTGTAACTTTGAGGAATGGACTTGCTTGCATTAGTAACACTGTTATTTTGAGTCATTGGCTGGGAGAAGCTCCTGAGAAACATGACCTCAACTTTTAAAGGGTGACTGCTTTCGGAGTGTAGCAACTGGGGCTGATTGTCAGTCATGCTCTCTAAAGTAGGAGCTCTTGGAGAAGTGTTTTGATGTTTGCCATTGAGTGGCTATAGGCAAAGAAAATATTGTCCTCAGAGACTAAGGGCTTCACTTTGCATCTACCACAGTGAACCATTAATGTTAAAACGTTGTCATATAAAGATTGAATATTAACCTTCTTTCTTGATAACAGATATGTCCTTTGAAGTGGTCAATTAACCTCCTCTAGAACCCTGATTTTTCAGAAATCCTTGGCTTTAGCAATTCTATTTAACTGATAGGATCAGGAGCTAGAAATCAGTGCTATTTCCCCTCATACACATTCAATAGTGTGGCTCTGCTGAATCAGCCTTGGGCAGGAAAAGGGAAGTAGAAGTAGAATAAACCTCTTTGTTGAAATAAAATACAATATTTCTCAGGTCCATTAGTGTCATTGACTGTCAAAGAGGTTCCCGGAATGTAAATAACCTACATTATAGCTACCTATTCCTGCCATAACTTTGTTATCCTCTACACATGCCTTGTGGAATTTGTGTTCAATCTAATGCCTTTTTTTCGCCTTCCAATTCTGGGTTTACCTTGGGTTGGTTCTTTGGATAGTGTCTCAAGCTTAGTCAAGGAGAATTTCTCTGGGTCACTTTCCACATAAGCATAAAGCACTTTATCTTTACTCTTGGTCAAAAAATATTAGGGAAAGAAACTGACTGGAACGTGTTCCAGTTGGACATATGGTACAATTTTTTTCTTATGTGTCTAGTAATGATTTTTCTCCATACGAGATATACCTGAATATGTAAGCACCATAATCAAAATATACCCAATAAATCAGAAAAAACAGAATTATAAAAATACCTAATAAGTGTGGAAATTGTCAGTTCCTCTCATTTTGAGAGAAACATCTGACATCATTTTTCAATAACATCTGAAAGGTATGAATCAGACCCTAGATATTTTCTGAGCATTTTTATAAACCTAATAGATTGTAAAGACAGCGTCAATAAGCAATAACAGCAGCAGTATACCCTAGATTTGTTGGCAGTAAAAACTTACCAACCCAGTTTATTATTGTCTATAGTACTGTGTGTCAAAAAGTTGGAAATGGATAAGCAATTCAGTTATAATGGGGAATATGACTTAGCCTGGTAAGACTTCACATCTGTATTGGATAAAATACTTCATTGGGAAGAAAAAAGCCAGAGTCTAGAATTATTTCCGTTTTGGGTTTTACATACCTAATTAATTCTCAATAATTTCTTAACTATTATGCCCTCTCAGTTTTCTTACTTATAAATGAAAATATCATTATCAACAGTAGAGGCTTTAGGGAAAGCTGTGAAGTAGAAGTACGCCATTTCGGCTAGAAGGGACCTAAGAAATTAGGTAGTCATTTAACAGATGAAGAAACTGAATTTCAGAAGTAAAGTGATTTGTTCAAGGTCTGGAAGGTTGTAAATTGCAAAGCAAGTAGTAGAGGCCAGGTGTTTTGAGTACAACTTACAATACAGTGCTCTTCCCTACCACCAGGTAAGTAATTTGTCATCATTTTCTTCCTTTTGAAACCCTCTATGTAATTGTAAACCTTCATCTTAGGTACCGCCCTAGCTTCACAGAGCTTCCAAAGGAAGCACATCACCTAAACATGCTCCGATTGTGCAGAAAGCAAGACACAATTATTTTGTTTTGTAATCTGTCCTTGTACTTATCTCTTCCCCTTTCAATTAAAATTTTCTGATGCCCCAACAACTTTGGGCTCTTCATTTCAATTCCAAAATAAAATTGGTAATCTGAAACAATCTAATATTGTTCTAAAAAAAGGAATTTAATCCAAAGAAATTACTCCAAGGAAATAAGTTTTGAGGCAAGCCACTGGGAAAGACATCTTAGAGTAGGTGGGTTTTGTGAAATTCCAGTAATGACTATATGCAGTATCCCCTTTCTCATTTTCCTTGACATATTCAATCCATATTGTTCTGCCTAGCTCAATCAAAATTATTTTTTTATTTCTTATTCTTAATCCTTTTCTATAACAAGCAATTTCTTTTGAGAAATCTATTAATCATTTATATAACAGTTCTGCGTGGTCTATTTAAGTGTTTTAACAACATTAATATCTTCTATATAATGAGAGATCGCTTATATTTTTGTCACAATGATTGATATTACCATAGGGAAAGTTGGTTTTGTTTTCAATGATTATTTGAATGCAAGTTTTGTATATAGTGAGTTACCACAACCTTGATGGCTATTTACTCAATAAGATAATAGTGCTGTCATCGAATACATGTTTATACAAATATTTAAGTAGATTTTATTTGGATTCATTTTTAAATGCTATTTCAAATTATCTTCTGAATCCTTTCTAGCGATTGAATAACATTATGTAGAAAAAGCTTTGCACAGCCTCCATAAAATCTGTTCTGTTTGGTTTATTTGGGAGTAAAATATTTCCCATGAACATCTTGAAACAGTTTTAATCTCTTCACTCTTCCCAATTCATAAGGTTACGTAGCTTTAGCTCCAACTTTATCATGCATAGCAAATAATTTCATTCCATTCTGACTCCATTTCAGACATAGTAAACAATACCAAAACTCAGATGTTCTTTGATTTCTGTTTTTCTTTTTTCTCTCCCAAGGGTTTTATTTTTAAGTGAGGAAAGGCTAAATTACAAAGTCTTTTTTTCTCTCAAGGCTAAATTATTTTTTTAATAAAATAATTAAAAGCTACTCTTATTGTGCCATTACATTACCTCCTTTTTTTCCTTCTCCTCTCTGAAGTCTTGCTCCTTCTCTCTCCCCTTTCTCATTTCTCCTAACATTCACCAATATTACCACAATAGTTCTGAAAACATTTACAAAATGTTTAGATACTTAGAAAATTTAGAGATGCCTAGATCTCCATTCAGTCATTGCAAACACAAATTCAGAGCAGCCTTGAAATAAGAATAATAATATCTGGTAAATTATTTGAAGATCACATAGCTTCGCTTATCTTTCCATAGCACTAAATCAGTGTGATATCTTCAAAGAGCTATAATTTAGGATTCAAAATTATGGAAATATGTAGAGTTTAGAAGAAGAGTAAATCATAAAATTTCTTTTTTTCTTTTTCACTTCTATAAATGTAGAAAATAACTTGTTGGGACCTGCTCCTGACAAAGACTTTTCACTCTGTACTGGAAAGTGTTGACACCATACTCTCCCATTCTACTTCTAATTTCCCATTTCCATAACCATTATTTTTTTTTATTGTTTACTTCAACTATAGCTTTAACATGTTAATGCAGTCAGTAAAATAATCAGAGACCAGTTTCTTCTAGGTAGTAATTGGTTTGTTAGTTTAATCCATGCAGAGGTTAGAAAAGAAGTTTCAGTTTCAAAAAGCTAGAACACAGGGGAAACAACACATGATAAACAATCCTGGAATCTGCAAGGTAAAAAAAAAAAAAGACTAGAAAGAAATGTATTTATCAAAGCAAAAGGAAGAGCTAGGTCAATAGGGTTTGATGACAGCCATTTCAAAAATATCAACAGAACCAAGTTTCTGGCTGTGCAGATAAGCACAATCATCACAGAGCCTAAAGAGGAAATTCTAAGTCTCTAGGAAGAAAGTGTAAGAAGTGAAAAAAGCTAATCGGAAGCCATAGTTCTTGATCAATCAATCTTCATGTTGGCCTTGAAGAACTAAGAGAGCTTGATCAAAAATATTCTCTCATGTGATTTCCTGAAAAGAAGATCTGCAACTAAAAGATTTCAAACTTCCTTGGTGTCTCTGTTGAGCAAGAAAAATTAAAAACAGGCTAATAGTTGGATCAATCAGTCATCTGTGAAGGGCAACACACTCTTCACAAAAAGAGGTCAAGACCTCTACAGCAGTAATCCTGAAATCATAAGGTGCTAATACAGCTGTAGAGCTAATACAGCCTGCTTTCTATGTCCCACCCCAAAGGACCTGAATCGCTACCACTGGTTTTCAATCCTCACTGCAAATTACAGTATCTGAGGAGTTTTAAAAAAAAAAAATACTGATACTCATCCTGACCCCCATATATTTAAGATTTAATTGTTAAGAGATAGAATTTGGCTATTGTTATTTTCCCAAAGCTCCCCAAGTCATTATAGCATACATTGAGGGATGAGAATCAGACTCTTAAGTGGGAACTAAAAATCTACTTTTAAGATAAGTATACTTCAAGTGAATCTGACGCATTGCCTATACTTTGTATATATAATTAGGTAAATTTAGGTACCCATCATATCACAAATCTGATATTCTAAGCAGCACATATTTGAAGTGCTCTGTGGTTCGTGTCTTCCAAATAAGCTTTTACCATTCATCATAACTCCTAGTTGTTATAATGATTAAAAGTAGCAGAGATGATCCAAATAAGCCATCAATCCATCAATCCAGAAATATTTTTATTTTTAGAAGTCATACTTCCTTTTTAAATTTCACATTATTACACCAATATAATTTATGTAACATACATAGTAGTTCAAATAACTATATAAATGACTTATTTAATATATAAATGGAATTTGCACTGAAGAAGAGCACAACTGTTTGTGACCTCTTAATGCTGGGCAACGGAAAAGTGACTATTGACTTAACACCTGCTTTGCAAGTGGACATAGTTCCTCATTTTTGGACGAGGAAAACATGTCTGCAAATTCCAAGATTTGTTTTGAAGCGTTGCCTTTTAAAATTGCACATAGTTAATTCTGCAAACTCCCATAGTAGCAGAAATGTTCCAGAAAGGAGTTTAACTCATAAAATAATTAACTTGTAAACGTAATAGTCTTTATTGTGCTAGGTTCTTCCTTGCTTCTCTGAATATACACACTTTTGCTTCAGGGATTCTTTTCTTCTCCTCATAGAGGGCTTTAATTTCCTTCAAAATCACAGCCTTACAAGAGAGAAAATGAAATTAGATAGTTTAATTAGCTAATCATCATTAAAAGTTAGAATTTATCTTGACGTAAAACACAGAAGTATGCTAATATTTTAGAAGTTTCCCTTTGATATTGAAGTAGAATTTGGTTATCTTTCACTATTGGCTGTACATTCTAGAATTTGAATTCACAATAAATCTTCCACAGTATACAAGTGGAATTTAAGATTGCAAGATCTCTGGTATAAATATTTCATACTATTTACATTTTGGTTTCCTAAAGCCAAATGTGTATCTCTACTCTTTCACATTTGCAATTCTAAGGTGTTGGTAATCATCTTTATATCCGGAAAAAAATCTTAGAATATCATATCATGCTTAACATCTAATTTAGCTTCCTGACAGGCTTTCCCTTTAGCTATACAAGATGAATGACTACAGATACTTTTTATGCTTGTTTCCTTTTATGAACCATGCTATGTTTGGTGGAAATCATTTATATTTGCATTTATTGATGTCAGAAAGCCTTTTATTTATTCCCATTTAGTAAGCTGTGTATTAGAATGCGGTGATGATACCTAGAAGTCAGTTCCAGCTTTTGGTGAAGCATTAGAGTGCTGATAATATCACCATCACTACCTCCTTTTCCCTCTCCAATTCTTAAATCTCAGTTATTGCTTTGTTTTACTAAATCTGAATTTCTATGTTGTTCTATATAATCTATACTCTATTATGATGCTAGTCATCGACTAGTATCATAAAAGTGTTAATATACAAAGAAGGTAAAATGGGAATTCCAATTCAAATGTATGTGCCAGTCAATCCTGTTTCAGGAAAAAGTTACTATAGAAATTATTTAGTATATGCTACTTGCATAATGCCTAGATAATTGTAAAATCCTAGGTTTCAGACATGTGGAGTAACAAAATATACATTTGAAAAAATAGCTTTTTTTCCTGAAATATAGAAGGTTAACATATTTTACAGTAATTAAAAGAATATTAGTAAATGTTATGTATAACATGGAAGTGACTAATTTTCCAGAAGAGTGAAAAGTGTTTGTTTAATTGTAGCAGACATGTGGTATGTAGAAGAAATACTGCTCTTTGTTTTAGGAATGTAGATTTTTTACAATTTAAGTCATTACCAAAAATAATGCTGGATATGTCTGACTTAGCATGGAGGATTATTTAAAATAATTCTTCACGGGAGACCACGTTTTTGAGTAACAACTTCAGTGAACTTGTTTATTCAATGTCAAAGTAGTTAAGGGAACAGTGTGAGCAAATGTATAAGTGCAATAAATTCAGTGACTCCAATCTTCTCATTAATAATGCGTGAAAGCATAATACAAAGCAGGTATAATTTTACCATAAATGATATGCCTGTTTTCATAACATGGTCTCAACTGTGAAATTTTAACAAAGATATCCTAAGGCACTATTTCTCATCATCATCACCTGGGAACTTGTTAGAAATGCAAGTTGTCTAGCCTTGCCTGAGACCAAACGTATAAAAAACTCTAGGGAGGGGCCCAGAAAACACTTCTGATGAATCTAATAGATTAGATGGTTGGGAGAAAGTTTTCAGTAAGTGGTATAGCAGGTTTACAAGGATAGAAATTGGTAATTTTTAAAATTCATTGTCTAAAGCTAGTTAAACACAAGGTCTATATTTAAGTCACCAATTCATTTGTTGATGAATGAAGAACTCAATATTCAAAGAATATACAAATCTTTTTTCTCTATTATAGAATATATAATAAATAAAATTTGAAACTTTTTTATGCATTAGAAGATAGAAGTCATTAAATCATATAATACCTCATCCAACAGTACCAGAATTTTGGCTTAATAAAATGATAATTGCATGCCATGCACTTTGCTAATTACTTTCCATGCTTAATTAAAATCTTCAGTAAACTGGGCAAAGTAGGAATTATAATCCTAGATTATTAAATTAAGTTTAAACATAAATTTGTCTGATCCCAATGCTTTTGCTCAAAAAAGGATTATCTTCTAGATTCCAGCAGCTCACTTCTTTGGACTTTAACGTATTTGTGATGGTCTAAACATATTGGCTATCAAGTAGTTTATGAAAACTTGCTTTTAAACAGGCTAGTTGAAGATACCTCACCTAAAGAGAGTACTTTTTTTCCTTTTTTAATTGAATTAAAATTCGATAAAAAGTGATCTCACTGATAGGTGGGAATTGAACAATGAGAACACATGGACACAGGAAGGGGAACATCACACACAGGGGCCTGTTGTGGGGTGGGGGGAGGGGGGAGGGATAGCATTAGGAGATATACCTAATGTTAAATGACGAGTTAATGGGTGCAGCACATCAACATGGCACATGTATACATATGTAACAAACCTGCACGTTGTGCACATGTACCCTAAAACTTAAAGTACAATAATAATAATAATAAAAGAAACATAAAAAAGTGATCATTTTGAAATATATAATACGGTGTAATGTAATACATTTAAAATGTTATGCAAACATCAGTTCTATCTAGTTCCAAAACATTTTCATCACCCCCAAAAGAATACCCCATACACCTCAAATGATTGCTTCCCCTTTTCCCTTCCCCAGAGCCTTAGGCAGCCACTAATCTGCTTTTCCTCTGTATGCATTTTATTACTCTGGATATTTCATATAAACAGACTCACACAATATGTGACCTCTTATGTCTGGCTTCTTTCAATTAGCAAATGTTTTTGAGGCTCATTTATGTCGTAGCATATATCAGTACTTCATTCTTTTTTATGGCTGAATAATATTTTATCGTAGGGATATGGCACATCTTGTTTATCTGTTCATCCATTGATGAATATATCTATTGTTTCTACATTTTTGCTATTGTTAACAGTGCTACTATGAACACTCATGTGCAAGGTTTTGTTTGAATACCTGTTTTGAATTCTTTGGGCTTTATATCTAGGAGTAGAATTGCTGGGTCATATCATAATACTGTATTTTATTTTTAAGGAACCACCAAACTGCTTTTCAGTGGCAGTGCCATTTTGTCTCTTTATACTAATAGCTTATTTCTTAGAGTTTACAAAAAAATCTAACAGATAGTAAAGAGAATTTCCATATACTCCCCCCACACAGTTCCCCTGATTATTAATATTAATAACTTACATTATTGTGGTATATTTGTTACGACTGATAAACCAATATTGACACATTATTATTAAAGTCCATAGCTTATATCAATGTTTACTCTTTGTGTTGTACAGTGCTGTGAGTTTTTCCAAATGCATAATGCCATGTATCTGCCATTACAGATTAACACAGAATAGTTCCATTTCTCTAAAAATCTCCTGTACTTCACCTATTCATTATTTCCTCATACCCTCCCCTTGTCTGTAACCCCTGCAACAGCTAAATTTTTACTGTCTATACACTTTTGCCTTTACCAGAATGTTATATCGTTGAATTTATACAATATGTGGCCTTTTGAGACTGGCTTCTTTCAACTAGCAATAAAATGCATTTATGGTTTCTCCATGTCTATTCATGACTTGATAGCTGAAGTTTTTAACACTTAATAATATGTTGTTTTATGAATGTACCCCAGTTTATCCCATCCACCTATTGAAGGACACCTTGGTTTCTTTGAATTTTTGGCAAATGTGAATAAAGCTCCAATAAATATCTGGGTGCTGGTTTTGTGGGGATATGTTTTCAAATTATTTGGGTGAATGCCTAAATGTGTGATTGCTGAATCATGTTAAGATGTTTAGCTTTGTTAGAAACTTCCAGTCTGTCTTCAAAAGTGACTGTACCCTTTTTCAATTCCACCTGCAATCAATGATGCTCAATATTCTCACCAGCATTTTATGGTGTCAGTTTTTTTGTACTTTAGCCATTCTAAGAGCTGTTCAGTTGTATTTCATTATTGTTTTAGTTTGCAATTCCCCAATTATGTATAATATTGAGCATCTCATAAGTTTATTTGCCATTTATTTATGGTTTTACTGAGGTATCTGCTCCAATATTTTGTTCATTTTAAAATTGGGTTGTTTCTTCTCTTATTGTTGAATTTTGAGAGCTCTTTGTATCAGATGCGTTTTGGAAATATTTTCTCCCAGTCTGTGGCTTGTCTTTTTATTACCTTAACATTATATTTCTCAGAAAAGAGGTTTTTATTTTAATACATGGAAAATTTATCAATTCTTCTTTCAGTGATTATGTATTTGGTGTTGTAACTAAAAAACTTATGATTAAACTCAAAGTCAGCTAGATATTGCTCTGTTATCTTCTAAAGGTTTTATAATTTTGATTTACATTTAGGTCTCTGATCCATTTTAGGTTAGCTTTTATGAAAGGCCTAAGGTCAGGGTCTAGATTAATTTTTGCATGTGAATGTCCGGTTGTTCCAGCACCATTTGTTGAAAAGACTATCAATTCTTCATTGAATTGTCTTTGTTCTTTTTTCAAAAATACTTTTATTGATTTTGTGTGTGTGTATTCTGATCCTTCTATTCTGTTCCATTGATAGACTGGTTTATTCTTTCACTTATACCACACCTTCTTGACTACTGTGGATTTATAGTAAATGTTTTGCTAATTATTTATCTTTATTTGACTAATAATTACTCAGGTGCATGGCTCTTCTGTATTTACTCACGTTTGCAGCCATGTTCTGTGATGCAGAGTAGGAGAGGTGAACCCTCACCAGGTCCACTTCTGGACCTTGGGGTTGCCCCCTCCAATCACTGGCATTGTGCTCATGTTTCTTTTGTTAGGTGTTCTGGGCCACAGAGTTCTCTGTGCAGAGACTTAGTCAGAGAGATAGGCCACATCTTTTCTGCGCAGGTCCTTTGGAGGGAGGCATGTCCTGCTCCAGCTACAGTTCATGAGCCTGTGTATCTCACTTGTCTCAGTGTTCTCAAAGTGTGGGCTCCTCGCCTGCTCAATTGTTGGTGAAATATTTCAACTTTACACTACCGAGCTGCACACTGCAGCCCTGCAGCACTAGGATCAGGTCACATCTCCATTCTCTAAACCCTTGGAGTGTGCTGGGGGACCTGATGTGCTCCCAGGCTACCAGAAAAGTAACTAGGTGGAGTAAAGCACTGAGGCTGGCATGAAGGAGGGCCTGCAAAACAGATGTGCCCCAGTCCTATGGGAAAGGTGGCTCTGCTTTTTCTTGGGCTGGTGGTCAACTGGTTCTAGAGTTTCTTGGAGGGAGTTGGGGGATGGGCACCTATGATCACACTCTATTAGAACTGCACTGGTCACAAAGGCCCTCGGTTCCATGCTAGCTGAAGCCCTTTTTCTGTCTACCTTCCAGGCAGATCCCCCTCCCAGCTCAAATGTCCATGGGAAACCTGCGGCCCCCTGTAGCTAGGATCCCATAGCTCAGCAACGAAAGTGAGTATTCCCACAGCACCTTCACTCATCTGTTTTTCAAGAGCCATTCAGGCATGGAAAATAGCCCCAGCATTAGGCTACCCCATGCAGGGTTCCCAGCCTCCTTTTCAGCCTCAGCCTGAGGGTCTGTGTCACATCTACAACCACTCTCTGCATTTTCTCTCCAAATATCTGTCCAAGTTATGTTTGTTCACTCAAAACCTTGGTCTTTCTCAGTTGAAATGGCACGTCCTGGCTGTGTCTAGTTTGCCATCTTCAGCTTTATTCTTTTTAAATTTATGGAAACTTGTTTTGTGGTCTAGTATATGGTCTTCCTGGAGAATGTTCTATGTGCACGTGAGAACAATATATATTTTGCTGTTTTGTTGGATGGAGTGTTCTTTTTAGTATGTCTTTTTATATATGTCTTTTTAGTAAAATTAGTTTATAGAGTTGTTCAAGTCCTCTATTTATTTATTAAACTTGTATCTAGATATTCCATACATTATTGAAAGTATGGTGTTGCCAAAGGTCATGACTAATGCCTTTAATGCCAGCACTTTGGGAGGCCAAGGTGAGTATGTCACTTGAGCCCAAATGTTCAAGACCAGCCTGGGCAAAATGGCAAACCAACATCTCTACAAATAAATAAATAAATAAATATATATATATCCAGACATGGTGGCATGCGAGTGTAGTCCTATCTACTCAGGTGGCTGAGGTGAGAGGACCACTTGAGCCTTGGAGGCCAAGGCTTCAGTGAGCCGTGATCACACCACTGCACTCCAGCCTGGATTACAGAGTGAGAAAGCGGATCAAAAAAAAAATGTATGGTGTGGAAGTCTACAGTTATTGTAGAACTTTCCATTTCTCCATTCAATTCTCTCAATGTTTGCTTCATATATTTGTGGAATTTATTGATTGGTACATAGATGTTTAGAGTTTTTATATCTTCTTGAAAATTTTACCATTTTATCTGTATCTATATAGTTATTATTTGTCTCTTGTAACAGTTTTTGACTTAAAGTTTATTTTGAATGATATTAGTATAGCCATCCTAGCTCTATTTTCTTTAAAGTTAATAGATGCTATTTTTAGAGCAGTTTTTATGTCTACAAAAACATTGACGAGAAAGTACAAAGAGTTTCCATTTGCTCCTTACTCCACCTCAATTTCCCCAATTCTTTTTATACTTCTTTTTAAATTTTAATGGTTTTTAAGAAACAGGTGGTTTTGGTTATATGGATCAGTTCTTTAATGCTGATTTCTGAGATTCTGATGCACCCATAACCAGAGCAGTATAGACTATGCCAACATGTAGTCTCTTATCCCTCAATGCCCTCTGAACCTTCCCTCTGTGTCCCCAGAGTCCATTAAATCATTCTTATGCTTTTACATCCTCATAGCTCAGCTTCCACTTATAAGTGAGAACATAGGATATTTGTTTTTCCATTTCTGAGTTACATTACTTAGAATAATGGCCTTCGACTCCACCCAAGTTGCTGCAAAGTTCATTTTTCCTTTCGTTTTTATGGCTGAGTAGTATTCCACGGTATCTATATACCAAATTTTCTGTATCCACTCATTGGTTGATGGGTATTTAGGTTGATTCCATTTCTTTGCAATTGTGAATTGTACTGTAATTAACATACTAGTGCAGATGTATTTTTGATATAATGCTTCTTTTTCTTTGGGTAGATACCCAATAGTAGGATTGCTGGGTCAAATGGTGGTTTTATTTTTATTCCTTTAAGGCATCTCCATATTGTTTTTCACAATGGCTGTACTAGTTTACATTCCCCCCAGCAGTGTAAAAGTGTTCCTTTTTCACCACATCCATGCCAACATTTATTATTATTTTTATTTTTAAATTATAGCCATTTTTGCAGGAGTAAGGTGGTCTCTCACTGCAGTTTTAATTTACATTTCCCTGATAATCAGTGATGTTGAGCATTTTTTTGTTTGTTTGCCATTTGCGTATCTTCTTTTGAGAATTATCCATTCATGTCTTTTACCCATTTACGATGAGATTGTTTTTGCTGTTGTTGTTGTTTTCTAGCTGATTTGAGTTCCTTTTAGATTCTAAATATTTGGCCTTTGTTGGATTCATGGTTTTTTAATATTTTCATGCATTCAGTAGGTTGTCTGTTTACTCTGCTGATTATTTCTTTTGCCATGCAGAAGCTTTTTATTTTAATTAGGTCCTATTTATTTATTTTTATTTTTGTTGCATGTGCTTTTGGGTACTTGGTCATGAATTCTTTGGTAAGCCAATGGCCAGAAGAGTTTTTTCAATATTATCTTGTAGAATTTTTATGGTTTTGGGTCTTAGATTTAAGACTTCCATTCACCTTGAGTTGATTTTTATATAAGGTGAGAGATAAGGAACCAGTTTCATTCTACTCTATGTGGCTTGCCAATTATCTCAGCACCATTTGTTGAATAAGGTGTCCTTTCCCCACTTTATGTTTTTGTATGCCTTGTTAAAGATCAGTTGACTCTATTTGGCTTTATTTCTGTGTTTTCTATTCAGTTCCATTGGTCTAAGGCCTATTTTTATATCAGCACCATGCTGCTTTGGTAACTGTAGCCTTGCAGTATGGTTTGAAGTTAGGTAATGCGATGGCTCCAGATTTATTCTTTTTGCTTAATATTGCTTTCGCTATGCAGGCTTTTCTTTGGTTCCATATGAATTTTAGAATTGTTTTTTCTAGTTCCGTGAAGAATGATAATGGTATTTTGATGGGAATAGTGTTGAATTTGTAGATTGCTTCAGGCAGTGTGGTCATTTTCACAGTATTGATTCTACCCATCAATGAGCATGTAATGCTTTTCATTTGTTTGTGTCATCTATGATTTGTTTCAGCAGTGTTTTGTAATTTTTCTTGTAGAGCTCTTTTACCGCCTTGGTTAAGTATATTTGTAATTATTTTATTTTATTTTTGCAGCTGTTGTAAAAGGGATTGTGTTCTTAAATTGATTCTCAGTTTGGTCGTTGTCAGTGTATAGCAGTACTACTGATTTGTGTACATTGATTTTTGTATGCTGAAATTTTTCTGAATGTATTTATCAGATCTGGGAGGTTTTTAGATGAGTCTTTAGGGTTTTCTAGGTATTAGTTTATATCTGGGTGAACAGCAACAGTTTAACTTCCTCTTTTCCAATTTGGATGCCCTTTATTTCCTTCTCTTATCTGATTGCTCTGGCTAGAATTTCCAGTACTATGTTGAATATAAGTGGTAAAAGTGGGCATCCTTGTCTTGATCCAGTCCTCAGGGGGAACACTTTCAACTTTTTTCCATTTGGTATGATATTGGCTTTGGGTTTCTCATAGGTGGCTTTTATTCCTTTGAGATATATGTCCTCTATGCCAAATTTGTTAAGGATTTTTATCATAAAGGAATACTGGATGTTGTCAAATGATTTTTCTGCATCTTTTGAGATGATTATATGATTTTTATTTTTAATTCTTTTTATGTGATGTATCACATTTGTTGAATTGCGTATGTTAAACCATCCCTGCATCACTGATATGAAACCCACTTACTCATGATGTTTTATCTTTTAGATATGCTGTTGGATTCAGTTAGATAGTATTTTGTTGAGGATTTTTGCTTCTGTGTTCATCAGGGATAATGGTCGGTAGTTTTCTTTTTTTGTTACGTCCTTTTCTGGTTTTGGTATTAGGGTGATATTAGCTTCATAGAATGATTTAGTAAGAACTCCCTCTTTATCCTTTGGAATAGTTTCAATAGGATTGGTACCAATTATTTGAATGTCTTGTGGAATTCAGCTGTGACTCCATCTGGTCCTGGCCCTTTTTTCTTGGCAAATTGTAAATTGCTGTATCAGTCTCACTGTTTGCTATTGGTCTGCCCTGATTTCTTCCTGATTTCTGCCTATTACTTCCTGATTTAATCTAGGAGATTTGTATATTTCCAGGAATTTATTTGTCTTCTCTAGATTTTCTAGTTTGTGCATGTAAGGGTGTTCATAGTAGCCTTGAATAATCTCTTGTATTTCTGTTGTATCAGTTGTAATATGTTCATTTTCATTTCTAATTGAGCTTATTTGGATTTTCTCTCTTTTTTATTGGTTAATCTCACTAATGTTCTATCAATTTTGTTTATTTTTTCAAAGAACCAGCTTTTGTTTCATTTATTTTTTCTATCTTTTTGTTTCAATTTCGTTTAGTTCTTCTCTGATTTTTGAATTTCTTTTTTTCTGCTGGATTTGGGTTTAATTTGTTCTTGTTTCTTTGATTCCTTGAGGTGTAACATTAGTTTGTCTATTTGTGTTCCTTCAGACTTTTTGAAGAAGGAATTTAATGCTATGAACTTTTCTCTTAACACTGCTTTTGCTGTATCCAAGAGGTTTTTTTTTTAATTAGTACCATTATTGTCATTCTGTTCAAAGAATTTTTTAATTTCCACCTTGATTTCATTCTTAACCCAAATATTATTAAAGCGATTATTTAATTTCCATGTATTTGTTTAGTTTTGAGGGTTCCTTTCTGGGTTAATTTCCAGTTTTATTCTACTGTGGTCTGAGAACATACTTGATATGATGTCATTTTTTACAAATGTATTGAGACTTGTTTTGTGCCCTATCATGTATGTGGTCTATCTTGGAGAATGTTCCATGTGCTGATGAGAAGAATGTATATTTTGCAACTGTTGTGCAGAATGTTCTGTAAATATGTGTTAAGTTCATTTGTTCTAGGGTATAGTTTAAGTCCATTTATTCTTTGTCGACTTTCTCTCTTGGTGAACTGTCTAGCACTCAGTGAAGTATTGAAGTCCCCTACTATTATTGTGTTTCCATGTATTTAATTTCTTAGGTCTAGTAGTAATAGTTCTATGAGTTTGGGAGCTCCAGTGTTAGGTGCATACATATTTAGGATTATAATATCTTCCTATTAAACTAGTCTTTTTATGATTATATAATGTCCTTCTTTACTTTTTTTTTTAAGAACAGCTACTCCTGCTCACTTTTGTTTTCATTTGAATGAAATATTTTTTCCACTCTTTTACCTATGTGTTAGGTAAATCTCTCAAAGACAGCAGTTACCCACTTAGTGGGTTTTTATCAATTCTGCCATTCCGTATCTCTTAAGAGGAGCATTAAGTCATTTACATTCAATATTAGTATTGAGGTGTGAGGTACTGTTTTATTCATCATGTTAGTTATTCCCTAATACTTTGCTCTTTTATTGTGTTATTGTTTAATAGGCCCTATAAAATTTATGCTTTAAGAAGATTCTATTTTGGTGTATTCTGAGGTTTAATTTTACAATTTAGGACTCCTTTAGCATTTCTTGTAGTGCTGATTTGGTAGTGGCAAATTCTCTCAGCATTTGTTTGTCTGAGAAAGACTTTATCTCTCCTTCATTTATGAAGTTTAGTTTTTCTGGATACACAATTTTTGGCTTACAAGTATTTTGTTTAGGGAAGCTAAAGATAGGACCCCAATTCTTTCTGGCTTGTAAAGTTACTGCTGAGAAATCTGCTGTTAGTCTGGTAGGTTTCCTTAATATGTTACCTGATGCTTTTATCTCATAACTCCTATGATTCTTTCAGGGATGATTTCTTTCTACTTATTATGTTCATTCAAATGTGCTATACTTTACATGTTTCTTTTTATGCCTTATAATATTTTTTGGTAGAAAGATGAAGATTTCCTGGGCACAGTGGCTCATACCTATAATCCAAGCTACTCAAAATGGTGAGGGAGGAGGATTGTTTGAGGCCACAGTTCAAGGCCAGCCTCAACAACATAACAAGTTGCCTATATCTTTAAAAAAAATTAAATTAGTTGGGCCCAGTGGCTTACACATCTAGTCCCAGCTACTTATGAGGTTGAAGTGGGATGATCTCTTAAACCTAGGGGTTTAAGGCTGAAGTGAGCTCTGATCATGACACTACACTCCAGTATGGGCAACAGAGTAAGACCCTCATCTCTAAAATTTTATAAAAATGAAAAAAATATATACCTTTGAATATTATAACATGGTAATTCTGGAATCAGATTCTTCTTTCACAGGATTTGCTGGGATTTTTTAAAAAATGTTTAAGGCTCTAGTTGTTTATTATTTTTAGTGACTTTTTCAAACCATTTTTCAAAAACTATAAAACTTCTTTTCATGTGTGGTCATGATGTCCTTGTTTGTTTAGCTTGTGTGCAGCTGGTGTTTTCACGTTTCCTGAATGCCAGGAGCTACAAATAGAAAACAAAAACATATACAAGATTTTGCTTATTATTCCTCTACTGGGGCTCTCTTTCAACATAAAGCCAAGTTTAAGTTTACAGTGAAACTAGGAATCAGCTTGATGTAAAAGCTTAGGGTGTTCTCAGATTTCTTCTGAGCATGTGTCTTGCCCTAGGCCTGCATGCGACTTTATAATTTATCAGGTATGGGTGATCTGTACACTCTAATGTAAAACAAAAACCCACCCCAATTTTTTTTTACCAGACTATAGGTAGTCTATTGTATGTCTTATATGTACTCTTTTGTCCCAGGCATCAAGTTGTTTGTTTACCTTACAATATTTTTGAGCAATGCCTGCCACTTCTTTAGCTGGAGTAAGTTACAAACTTCTGCTCATAAGAAATTAAGAAACATGAGAGATCCATGGAGCCTTGTCTTCAAACAGTTGACATCCCCACAATAGAAAATAACAGAAGATCATGAATGTATTACAAATAAAGTATGCTTGCAATGGTTAAATAGAAGAAAGCAGTTATTTAAAAATATAATAAGTAAGTAGAGGGTAATATAAAAAAAGTACAAGGGGGGTTGAAAAGAACAAATATTATTTTGAGAAAAGGAAATTTTAGTAATTGATATTTTAGCATTCACAAGATAATTTAAATTCATATTTAAAACATCTGAAGAGGAATGAATCCAGAGTGTACTATATAGAAATAAGATGAAGAATATGAAAAAGAGTTTAAAACCTGCAGAGTTTAATGAGAAGATTCAACATTCTTGTAACTAAGAGTTCCCAAAGAGGTCAGGCGCGGTGGCTCACGCCTGTAACCCCAGCACTTTGGGAGGCCGACGTGGGCAGATCACAAGGTCAGGAGTTCAAGACCAGCCTAACCAACATGGTGAACTCCGTCTCTACTAAAAATACAAAAATTAGCCAGTCATGGTGGCGTGTGCCTGTAATCCCAGCTACTCAGGAGGCTGAGGCAGGAGAATCGCTTGAATCCAGGAGGTGGAGGTTGCAGTGAGCCAATATCCTGCCACTGCACTCCAGCCTGGGTGACAAAGCGAGACTCCGTCTAAAAAAAAAAAGAAAAAAAAAAGAATTCCCAAAGAACAGAATAGAGATAATGGAAAAGAACTGATCCTTCAAAATATGCTGGAAAGTGTTACCTAGAACTGATGAAATATGTAAATTCTTAGATTCAGAGAATTAAGCCTATTCCAAATTAAATAAAGCAAAACAAAAAAACACCCCCACGTCTATATAATTAATAGTGAAATTCAGTATATAAAAAATAAAGAAAATAATCTTAATATCTTTCTCAGATAAAAGATGAATCATCCATAATAAATGGAAATTAGAGTAATAGCAGTTTTCTCATCAGCAAAACTGTCCACCAGAAGATAATCAGAGTTTTTCAATTCTGACTAAAAAATAAATTTTAAGTTAAAATTATTTAACTTGAGAGAGGATGTTTTTGTCTGTACTCATGCTGCTAATAAAGACATACCCAAGGCTGGGTAATTTATAAATAAGAGGTTTAATTGACTCATAGTTGCACGTGGCTGGGGAGGCCTCACAATCATGGCAGAAGGCAAAGGAGGAGAAAAGTCACTTCTTACATGGTGGCAGTCAAGAGAGAAGGGCAAAGCAAAAGGGGAAAAACCCCTCACGAAGCCATCAGATCTCGTGAGAACTCACTCACTATCATGAGGGTAACCACCCATGATTGAATTACTTTACACCAGGTCCCTCCCATAACATGTGGGGATTATGGGAACTACAATTCAAATGAGATTTGGGTAGCGACACAGCTAAACCATATCACAGGGCAAAAATAAAGATATTTATTGCAGAATAGTAGTAAACTGCAGAAGTTGACTACTATTTACATGCTGTCACTAACAAGATATTTAAGAAATTTTTAAGGAAGGAATGGGATATAAGAAGCTATGGTGAGTGATAGCTTGTATCAGAATTATCCTTCTACTATAAACAACTATAAAACCTGGAAAATATATATATAACAATCTATTCACAAAAATTGCAAGACAAGTAAGGCTACAACCTTTGAGAGAAGAAAACTGCATGAGGTGAATCCCAAAGGCTCCCTGAGGGCATTTTCTAATTCGCAGTACAGAGCAATAGAGCAAGAGCACAGAAAAACGGGTTTTCTGGGCAAATAATTTCAGAGACATCGTGGCAATTGGGCCTTGTGGCAGGTTGGTGATCCCCAAAGAGGCCACAGAGAAATAGTTGCAAAATTGGAATAAAATTTTCCTTAATTATTTAACTTATTTCTTTCTTTTCTTTTTCTTTTTTTTTAAGAAATCTCGCTCTGTCGCCCAGGCTGGAGTGAGTGCAGTGGTGTGATCTTGGTTCACTGCAACCTTCGTCTCCACGTTCAAGCAATTCTTCTGCCTCAGCCTCCCAAGTAGCTGGGACTACAGGTACACTCCGCTGTGCCCGGGGTGTACCTGTAATGTACAAAAATGTTTGTATTTTAGTAGAGATGGGGTTTCACCATGTTGCCCAGGCTGGTTTTGAACTCCTGAGCTCAGGCAATCTGCCCGCCCCGGCCTCCCAAAGTGCTAGGATTACATGTGTGAGCTACCACGCCTGGCCTTATTTATTTCTAAGCTATGCATTTATATGATATGATAGAAGTCTGGGAGTTCTATCAGAGAACAGCTGCTGAGAGGCTGAAATGCTAGGTAGATATTTCAGAGGCAGCACAGATATTGGGAGATGGAGGTTTAATTTTGAAAAGAAAAAAAAGGGGCAAAGAGACCTCAAAAAGACCCTACCATGTGGTTATGGAGTATGGAATACACTCTAACACAACCATTTTAATAACAGACTAACCAAATCTCAACAGAACCAAGGTGGTCTACTGGCAATTTAACTATCTGCCACACTATTATTCTACATATTCTAGAGAAAAATAATGTAATACAGAGTCACTGCAGTGTATTGTTCACAATATTTGGAATATAATAAAAATTACTAGATATGCAAAGACAAAAGAAAAATGACTAACAAGCAAGAAAAGTAATAATCAATACCAGTATACCAGAGATTAGATAAGATATATTGGGGTTAGCAGAGAAGGGCTTCAAAAAATGTTATTATTATATTAAATAAAATAGAGAAAAAATATTGGTAAAATAGATGAAAAGATGCATATTTCCAAAATGTAATTAGAATGTATAAATATATGTAAGTCAAGTCTATATTCTAAAACTGCAAAATATTATATCTGAAATTAAGAGCTATTTCAATAAATGGGTTGTTTACAGCAGACAGTAAACTTAATGATGTCCATTGAAAGTATTCCAACCAAAACATGTAGAAAAAAAAAGGAAAACTGATAAAAGAGCATATATTAAATACACAAAAGGTCTAACATACATGTGAGACATCAACCCACAGATTAAAGAATTTCAACAAACCACATGCAGGCTATAAATAAACAAAAACTCACCTACACACATCTTTATCAAATTATTAAAAAGTTAAAGATGGAAAAAAAACCTTAAAATCAACCAGAGAAAAGAGATACTCTTCAAAGGAACCACAGTAAGACTGATAGATGACTTTTTAGCAGAAGCAATGGAAGTCAGAAGTAGGATGACAAATGCTCCTCATTTTCATATTAAATAGAAAAGAGAAATTATTACATTAAATAAACTGCAACAGTCCTAAGCAAATCAAGATGGTTGGTCACCCTAGCCACAAGATAATTGTGTAATATCTTTAACATAGTGAAAAAAAAGACTGCTAACATGTATTCTGTTCTTTACAATTGAAGACAAAATTGAATATATGTAAATAGCCTTCAAAAATGAAGGAAGAATTCAGATGTTTTAACAAAAATAAATGCTGAAAGGATTTCTCACAGGAGACTTGAACTACAGTAAAGGGAGTTCTTCTGCCTGAAGGGAAATAATATCAGATGAAAATAAGAAACTGAAAAAAGTAACAAAAAGCACTACAAAGGAAAAACATGCACATAAAATAGAAAAGGATGCTGCCTGTTTAAAATAAAAACACTGTTAAAGTTTTTTAAAATGCATAACATATATAAAAGTCAAAAATATGATAACAATGGCACTGCTTTTTTGTAAAATTCTGGTCATTGGTTTGAAGTGGTGAAATTACCAATTTAATGTGAACTTAAAAAAATCAGACACGTATTTTAATCTGTAGTGGAACAGATATCAAACCTTTTGGACTGAGGAGCTGTTTAAACTCTTAAATATTATTTTGAACTCCAAAGGACCTTTGTTGGATATTAGAAATGATTAATGACTTCAGTAAAATTCTAGGATACAAAATCAATATATAAAAATTATTAGCTTTTTTTTTATGGGTCTCACTCTGTCACACAGACTGGAGTGCAGTGGCATGATCTCAGCTCACCACAGCCTCCAATTCCTGGGCTCAAATAATTCTCCGGCCTCAGCCTCCTGAGTAGCTGGGACTACCAGAACAAGCCACCAGCGCCTAGCTAAATTTTTGTATTTTTTGTAGAGATTGGGTCTCACCATATTCTTGCCCAGGCTAAAATCAGTAGCATTTCTATACATCAATAACATTCAAGCTGAGAGCCAAATTAAGGACAAAATTCCATTTACAATAGTTACCCCAAAAAATGTACCTAGAAACAAATCAAACCAAAGAGGTAAAATAACTCTACAAGGAGAACCAAAAAAACACTGCTGAAAGAAATCAGAGATGACACCAACAAATTTGAAAATATTCCATACTCACGGACTAGAAGAATCCATATTGTTAATATGGCCAGACTGGTCTTTTGAGAAAAATGGCAGCTAGTTAGCAGGGAGGACTAACTTGCAGCTCCTACTCAGATAGATGGAACAGCATGTGGAGATTCACATTGTGAACTTTTGCTTCAAGGACTACCACAGGAACATAGCAGGAAAACCAAAAGAATTCACAGAACCTTTGAAGGAAGCAGCTTGCCACTGCAAGCTTCCTGTGACAGCCAAAAAACTGTGAGTGCCCAAGGTGTGAGAGAAGAAAGGTCCACTTCTGAACACAAATCATCCCTGGGGAACCTGAAAATCCACATCATGGAGAAGGATTTAATCTTCCCTAGAGCTAAAACAAATTTAGAGTGTGAAGCAAAATATAAAGGTAGAAGAAGCAGCAGAAAGAGCCCTGTGGGTACTCGCAATCCCCAATGAAGCCATTTTTGACTTTGTCTCATGGGGCTCCTTGGGTAAGGCTGCCAGTGAAATTGGGGCAGGATCACAGGAAGAAGGAAACTTCCAGCTGAACTTTGTAATAATTTAAAATGATCGTAAACTTTCCTGGGCAGAATCCAGGAGGACAGCAAATGGGAAGTGCAAATATGAGCACAGAAGCCAAGGAAAGCAGGGAAAGGTGGAGCCTGAAAGCCCTGCTTGTGTTCTCAGCAAAGAGGTTGGTTGCCTGAGGCAAGATCTGAGTCTGGCACCAGGGGCCTGAATATTAACTCCATGCAGGTGGTGGGAATGAGACTGTCCTTGTTGGCTGCATGGTAAGTGGGTGATGCCTGTCGCTGCCAGCTTTCCCTGACTTCCCTGGTGACCTGTATATTGCAGCAGAAGCAGCCATAATCCTCCTGGGAATGTAACTCCATTTGCCTAAGAACCACACCCCTATCCCCAACAGAGGCTGCAGCAAGCCCCGCCCAAGGAGAGTCTGAGCTTAGAAATGCCTAACCCTGCACCTACCTGATGCTCTATCTCTACCTGCCCTGGTAGCCAAAAATAAGAGACATAATCTCTTGGGAGCTCTATGGCACTGCCCATTGCCTGAGAAACCTGAATATTCATCCAGGTGACCTTAGGGCAAGCTTGTATCAGCTGATGCTGTCTTGAATCCACCACCTCCTGGCTAGAAGCCAACCAACCATCAACAAAACTAGCATTTGAGAAAACCAGTGAACTAAACAAAGCTACAACCAAAGATCTTCACAGATTCCACTTCACGCCTCTGCTATCTCCACTGAAGTAGGGGCTGGTATCCATGGCTGAGAGACCTGAAGACAGATCATATCACAGGACTCTTTACAGACAGTCCCCATTACCAGCCTGGAGCCCAGTAACTCTGCTGGGTGGCTAGACCCAGAAGAGCAATAAAAATGACTGCAGTCCAGCTCTCAAGAAGTCCTATTTTTAGGGAAAAAGAGAGAGCATTACATCAAGGGACCACCTCATGGGACAAAAAAATTAGAACAGCAGCCTGTAAACCCCATATTTTTTCTCTGACATAGACTACCCAAATGAAAAGGAACCTGAAAAACAATTCTGGTAATATAAAAAAAGCAAAGTTCTTTAACAACCCCAAAACATCACACTAGGTCATGAGCAATGGATTCAAACCAAAAACAAATCTCTGAAATGCCAGAAAAAAATTCAGAAGGTTGATTATTAAGCTACTCAGTGAGGCACCAAAAAAGGTAAAAACCAATTTAAAGAAATTTAAAAAATAAATACAGGATAAGGATGAAAAAATCCCAGAGAAATAGATAGCATTTATAAAAAGCAATCACAACTTCCAGAAATAAAAGACACATTTAGAAAAATGCAAAATATACTGGAAAGTTACAAAAATAGAATCAAACAAGGAGAAGAAAAAACTTCAGAGCTTAAAGACAAGGCTTTCAAATTAATCCAATCCAAAAAAGACAAAAAAAAAAAGAAAAAATAATGAACAAAGCCTCCGAAAAGTTTGGGATTATGATAAATGACCAAACATAAGAATAATTGGTGTTCCTGGACTGGGCACAGTGGCTCACACCTATAATCCCAGCACTTTGGGAAGCCGAGGTAGGTGGATCATTTGAAGTCAGGAGTTCAAGACCAGCCTGGCCAACATGGTGAAAGCTCTTCTCTACTAAAAACACATAATTAGCCAGATAGTACTGGTGTGTGCCTGTAATCTCAGCTACTCGGGAGGCTGAAGCAGGAGAATTGCTTGAGCCTGGGCGGCAGAGGTTGTAGAGCTGAGATTGCACCACTGCACTCCAGTCTAGGCAATAGAGTGAGACCCTGTCTCAAAAAGAAGAAAGAAAGAAAGAAAGAAAGTTTGGAAAACTTATTTAAGGAAATAATCAAGGAAAAACAACTTCCCTGGCCTTGTTAGATATATAGACACGCAAACAGATAAAGCTCAAGGAACACCCAGAAAATTCATCCCAAAAGATCATAACCTGGACAGATAGTTATCAGGTTATCTAAAGTCAAGATGCAGGAAAGAATTGTAAAGGCTGTGAGGCAAAAGCATCAAATAACTATAAAGAAAAATTAACCAAATTAACAGCAGATTTCTCATCAGAAACCCTACAAGCTAGAAGGAAATGAAGCCTATCTCTAGCCTCCTTAAACAAAACAATTATCAGCCAATAATCTTGTATCCAAGGAAATTAAGTTTCATAAATAAAGAAAAAATAAAGCATTTTTTAGACAAATAGATGCTGAGAGAATTCACCACTGCCAAGATAACACTACAAGCACGCTAAAAGAAGTTCTATATCTTGAAACAATACCTCAACATACACCAAAATAGGACCTCAATAAAGCATAACTCCCACAGGGCCTATAAAACAATAACACAATGAAAAACATACCAAAGTATTCAAGTAACAACTAGCATAATGAACAGAATAGCACCTCATATCTCAATACTAACGGTGAACGTAAATGGCCTAAATGCTCCACTTAAAAGACACAGAATGGCAGAATGGATAAGAATTCACCAACCAAGTATCTGTTGTCTTCAAGAAACTCACCTACCATGTAAGGTCTCACATAAACTTAAAGTAAAGGGATGGAAAGAGATATTTTATGCAAATGGACACCAAAAGCAAGCAAGAGTAGCTATATTCTTATATCAGACAAAACACACTTTAAAGCAGCAACAGTTAAAAAAGACAAAAAGGGACCTTATATAATGATAAGAGGACTAGTTCAACAGGAAAATATTATAATCTTAAATATATATTCACCTGACACTGGAGCTCCCAAACTCATAAAACAATTACTATTAGACATAAGAAATGAGACACACAGAAACACAATAATAGTAGTTGTATTAGTGAGTTCTCATGCTGCTAATGAAGACATACCTAAGACTAGGTAATTTATAAAGGAAAGACTCACAGTTCCACATGGCTGTGGAGGCATCACGATCATGGCAAAAGGCAAAGGAAGAGTAAAGTCACGTCTCACATGGTGGCAGGCAAAAAAAGCATGTGTAGAGGATCTGCCCTTTATAAATCCATCAGATCTCATGAGACTTATTTACTACCATGAGATCAGTGTGGGGAAAACCGCTACCATAATTCAATTATCTCCACCTGGCCCCACCCATGACATGTGGGGATCATTACAATTTAAGGTGAGATTTGGGTGAGGACACAGACAAACCATACCAGTAGTGGACTGCAATACTCCACTGACAGCACTAAACGGGTCATCAAGACAAAAAGTAAACAAAGAAAAAAATGGACTTAAACTATTCCCTAGAACAAATGGACTTAACATGTATTTACAGAATATTCTATGCAACAACTGCAGAATATGCATTCTTCTCATTAGCACATGGAACATTCTCCAAGATAGGCCATATAAAAGAACCACAAAACAAGTCTCAATATGTTTAATAAAATTGAAATCATATCAAGTACCTTCTCAGACCATGGTGGAATAAAACTGGAAATTAATCCCGAAAGGAACCCTCATGACTATGCAAATACATGTAAATTAAATAGTCTCTTTAATAATCTTTGGTGTTAACAATAAAATCAAGAGGAAAATTTAAAAATTATTTTAACAGAATGACAACAGTGATACAACTTATAAAAAACTCTGGGATACAGCAAAAGCAGTGCTAAGAGAAAAGTTCATACCATTAATTTTCTACATCAAAAAGTCTGAGATAGCACAAATAGACAACCTAACATCACACCTCAAGGAACTACAGAAACAAGAACAAACTAAACCCAAATCCAGCAGAAGAAAAGAAATAACAAAAATCAGAAAAGAACTCAATGAAATTGAAACAAAAGACAATCAAAAAATAAATAAAACAAAAAAGCTAGTTCTTTGAAATGAAAAACAAAATCTATGGATCATTAGTGAGATTAACCAAGGAAATAAGAGAGAAGAGCCAAATAAACTCAATTAGAAATGAAATGGGAGATATTACAAATGATGTCACAGAAATACAAAAAATCATTGAAAGCAACTATGAATACCTTTATGCACACAAACTAGAAAACCTAGAGAAGATGGATAAATTCCTGGAAATATACAATCCTCCCAGAATAAACCAGGAAAAAACAGAAACTCTGAGCAGATCAATAGTAAGCAGCAAGATTGAAATGGTAATTGTGAAAAAAAATTGCCCACCAAAAACAAAAAGCCCAGGACCAGATAGATTCACATATTAATTTATCAGATATTCAAAGAAGAATTGATACCAGTCCTATTGACACTATTCCAAAAGACAGAAAAAGAGAGAATTCTCATTAAATCATTCTGTGAAGCCAGTGTCACCCTAATACCAAAACCAGGAAACAACAACAACAGCAACAACAAAACTATAGACCAATATACCAGATTAACGTAGATGCAAAAATTCTCAACAAAATACTAGCTAACCAAATCCAACAGCATTTCAAAAAGATAATCCATCATGATCACGTGGGTTTCATACCAAGGATAAGGGAATAGTTTAACATACACAAGTCAATAAATGAGCTACACCACATAAATAGAAGTAAAAAAAAATAAGACCATATCAATAGACACAGAATAAAAATTTGACAAAATTCAGTACCCGTATATATTAAAACCATCAGCAAAATCAGCATAGAAGAGACATATCTTAAGGTAATAAAAGCCACATATGATACTGAATAGGAAAAAGATGAAAGCTTTTTCTGTGAGAACTGGAAAAAGACAAGGATGTCTGCTTTCACCACTTTTATTCAACAAAGTTCTGTATGTCCTAGACAGAGCAATCAAGAAAGAGAAAGGAAATAAAGTGCATTTAAGTCGTAAAAAGAAAGTCAAACTATCATTGTTCACTGAAAATATGATTGTATATCTTGAAAACCCTAAGGACTCATTCAAAAAGCTTCTAGATATGATAAATGAATTCAGTAAAATTTCATGATAAAAAAAATCAATGTACACAAATTAGTTACACTGCTATACACCAAGAACAACCAAGCTGAGAATAAAATCAAGAACGTTACCCCTTTTACGATAGCTGCACAAAAGAAGCAAAATACTTAGGAGTGTACTTAATCAAAGAGGTGAAAGACCTCTACAAGGAAAACCATAAAACACTGCTGAAAGAAATCATAGATGGCACAAAAAAGTGAAAACACACCTCATACTCATGAATAGGTAGAATCAATATTGTGAAAATGACCATACTGCCAAAAGCAATCTACAAATTCAACACAATCTCCATCAAAATACCATCATCATCATTCTTCACAGAACTAGAAAAAACAATCCTAAAATTCATATGGAACCAAAAAAGAGCCTGCATAGCCAAAGCAAGACTAAGCAAAAATAACAAATCTGTAGGCATCAGATCACCTGATTTCAAACTATACTACAAGGCTATAGTCACCAAAACATCATGGTACTGGTATAATAAAAGGCGCATAGACCAATTGAACAGAATAGAGAACACAGAAATAAAGCCAAATACTTACAGCCAACTGATCTTTGACAAGGCAAACAAAAATATAAAATGAAATAAAAGACTATTATTCAACAAATGGCGCTGGGATAATTGGCAAGCCACATGTAGAAGAATGAAACTGGATCCTGATCTCTCATCTATTATACAAAAATCAACTCAAAATGGATCAAAGACTTAAATACAAGACCTCAAAGCATAAAGATTCTGGAAGGCAACATCAGAAAAACTCTTCTAGACATTGGCTTAGGCAAAGACTTCATGACCAAGAACCCGAAAACAAATGCAACGAAAACAAAGATAAATACAGGGGACTTAATTAAAAACCTTCTGCAACACAAAAGAAATAATTAGCGGAGTAACAGACAACCCACATAGAGTGAGAAAATCTTCACAAACTACACATTTGACAAAGAACTAATATCCAGAATCTACAAAGAACTCAAAGAAATCAGCAAGAAAAAAAATAATGTCATCAAAAAGTGGGCAAAGGACATGAGTAGACAATTTTGAAAAGAAAATATACAAAGGGCCAACAAACATAAAAAAATGCTAAACATCACTAATTATCAGAAAAATGTAAATCAAAACTGCAATGCAATACCACCTTACTCCTGCAAGAATGGCCATAATTTAAAAATCAAAAAATAATAGATGTTGGCGTGGATGTGGTGAAAAGGGAACAATTTTACAGTGCTGATGGGAATGTAAACTAGTATAACCATTATGGAAAACAGTATGGATATTCCTTGGTGAACTTAAAGTACATCTATTATTTGATCCAGCCATCCCACTCCTGGGAATCTACCCAGAGAGAAAGAAGTCATTATATGAAAAAGGTTCTTGCATATGCATGTCTATAGCAGTACAATTCACAATTGCAAAAATATGGAATGAGTCCAAATGCCCATCAATCAATGAGTGAATTAAGAAAATCTGGCATATAGATACCATGGAATACCACTCAGCCATAAAATGGAATGAAATAACGGCATTTGCAGCAACCTGGATAGAGTTGGAGACCATTATTTTAAGTGAAGTAACTCAAGAATTGAAAATCAAAGATCGTATTTTCTCACTTGTAAGTGGGAGGTAAGTTACGAAGATGCAAAGACACAAAAATAATACAATAAACGTTGGGGGATCGGGGTAAGGGTGGAAAGGGGTGAGGGATAAAAGACTGCACATTGGTTACAGTGTACACTGCTCAGGTGATGAGTACACAAAAATCTTGGAAATCACCATTGGTTACAGTGTACACTGCTCAGGTGATGAGTACACCAAAATCTTGGAAATCACCACTAAAGAACTTATGCATGTAACCACGCATCACCTATTCTCCAGTAACCTATTGAAATAAAAATAAAATAAAATAAAATTTGATGCAAATGAAAACAAAATGGCCAGACAGTCCAAAGCAATCTACAGATTTAATGCAATTCCTATTAAACTATCAATGTCATTTTACAGAATTAGAACAAACTATTCTAAAATTCATATGGAACCAAAAAAGAGCCCACACATTCAAAGCAATTTTAAGCAAAAAGAACAAAGCCAGAGGCATCACACTACCTGACTTCAAATTATACTATAAGATTATAGTAACCAAAACAGCACAGTACTGATTCAAGTACAGATAAATAGACCAATGGAACAGAATAGAGAACCCGGAAATAAAGCCACAAATCTACAGATCTTTGACAAAGTTGACAAAAATAAGCAATGGGGAAAGAATTCTCTATTCAATAAGTGGTGCTGGGATAGCTGGCTAAGCCATATGCAGAAGAATGAAACTGGACTCCTACCTTTCACTGTATACAAAAATTAACTCAAGATAGATTAAAGATTTAAATTTAAGATCTCAAACTGTAAGAAACCTAAAAGAAAATCTAGGAAATACCTTTCACAACATTGGTCTTGGCAAAGAATTTTTGGCTATTTCCCTGATATGGTTTGGCTCTGTGTCTTCACTCAAATCTCATCTCAAATTGTAATTTTCTTAATCTCCACATGTCAAGAGCATAACCTGGTGGGGGGTGATTGAATCATGGGAGTGGCTTCCTCCATGCTGTTCTTGTGATGGTAAGTTCTCGTGAAATCTGATGGTTTTATAAGTGTTTGACAGTTCCTCCTACACTCTCTCTTTCTCCTGCCGCCTGATGAAGAAGTTGCCTGCTTCCCTTTCTGTTATAATTGTAAGTTTCTTGAGGCCTCCCCGGACATGTGGAACTGTGAGTCAATTAAACCTTTTTCCTTTATAAATTGCCCAGTCTCCAGTATGTCTTTACAGCAGTATGAAAATGGACTAATACAGTCCCCAAAAGCAATGGCAACAAAAACAAAAATAGACAAGTGGAACCTAAGCAAACTAAAGAGCTTCTGAATGGTGAAATAAACTATCAACAGAATAAACAGGCAACATACAAAATGGAAGAACATATTCATAAACTATGTATCTGACAAAAGCCTAATATTCAGAATCTATAAGGAACTTAAACAATTCAACAAGCAACACAACAAATAAATAGCCCCATTAAAGAGTGGGCCAAAGGCGCTAGGTGCAGTGGCTTACGCCTGTAATTTTAGCATTTTGAGAGACTGAAGCTTGTGGATCACTTGAGGCTGGAATTTCAGACCAGCCTGGCCAACATGAAGAAACCCGTCTCTACTAAAAGTACAAAAACTACCTGGGCATCGTGGTGCATGTTTGTAATCCCATTTACTCCAGAGGCTGAGGCTCGATAATCACTTCAACCCAGGAGGCAGAGGTTGCAGTGAGTTGAGATCACGCCAGTACACCCCAACCTGGGTGCAGAGTAAGACTGTTTCAAAAAGTAAAATAAAAAGTGGGCAAAAGACATGAACAGACATTTCTCAAAAGAAGACATAAAAGTGGCCAACAAACGTATGAAAAAACACTTCACATTACTAATCATCAGAGAAATGCAAATTTAAACCACAATGTGATACCATCTTACACCAGTCAGAGTGGGCATTATTAAAATGTCAGAAAATAACAGATGCTGGTACGGTTGCAGAGAAAAGGGAATGTTTATGCAGTGTTGGGAATGTAAAGTAGTTCAGCCTCTGTGGAAAGCAGTTTGGGAATTTCTCGAAGAACCTAAAACATAACTACCATTCCACCCAGCAATCCCACTATTCAGTATATATACCAAAGAAAATAAATTCTTCTACCAAAAAGACATATGTATTTGTATGTTCTTCACAGCACTATTTACAATAGCAAAAACATGGAATCATCCTAGGTGCCCATCAGTTGTGAATTGGATAAAGAAAATGTGGTATGTATACACCATAGAATATTATACAGCAATAAAAAAATAATGAAATAATGTTCTTTGCAGCAACATGGATGCAGCCAGAGGCCATTATTCTAAGCAAATTAACACAAGAACAGAAAAACAAATACGGCATATTTTCACCTATAAGTGGGAGCTAAGCATAGGGTACTCATGGATATAAAGGTGGCAACAACAGACAGTTGAAACTACTAGCGGCAGGAAGGAGGGAATGGAGCGAGGTTTGAAAAACTACCTATTGGGTACTATGCTCACTACCTGGTATCGAGACACATACCCCAAACCTCAGCATCATGCAATATACCAATGTAACCAACCTGCACATGTACCCCCATAGTCTAAAATAAAATTTGAAATCAAAAAACAACTAAAGAGGATTTGCTTATGTGAGTTAAATCTTTTGACAGCTTCCATATGTTTTCAAGTAATTTATTAATTCATTTAGATGTAGCAATAATAAATCCATCGCATGTTAACATAAATAGCATATTTTTATGAAAAATAACTATTTTATGAAACTGAACAAAAATTTAAAAGTTGCATTTTTAAATATTTTTCGAATGCCTTTAATTCTGGTTTAATAGAATACAGCTGGTTATTCATATTTGCTTTCACATTTAATAAATTGTGATATCACGTGTTATAGCACTGTAATATTCCACTGTATATACATAAAAATGAGAATTTAAAAGGAAAACACTCTTTTAATATTATGAAAATAGTTTTGACCTCATGAACCCCCTGAAAAGATCCTGGGACACAAAGAGTTTTCCAAAACATACTTTAAAAATCTGCTGTATATTATTCATGGGAAGAATAATAAAACCTAATAGATGAGAAGAAACAGCAATAAAAATATGTAATCAAAAATAAAACAGGAAAGAGAAAAAAATGAACGAAGAAAAGATGGGGCAAGAAACAGATATTATAATAGATGAAAATTCAACTACATCAGCAATTACCTTAAATTTAAATAGCTTAACACTTCATTTAAAACACAAAGATTGTAATGCTGTATTAAAATTGATCTAAATAATTTTATAAGAGATATATTCTAAATATAAGGACACAGAAGTATTGCACCTGAAAACAATTTTAAAGGATATATCATGTCAAACTGAATATAGGTAGTGTTCAACAACCTGAATGACTTTTACAGAAAGTATGGTAAGTGGAGGAAGCCAGAGACAAACACATACTGTATATAGTCATTTATATAAATTTCAAAACAGAAAAATATAATTATGAGATAATTTAGAATTTTGTTTACCAACTGGGTTATAGACTGGGAAGGAGTATGAGAGAATCTTATGGGGTGCTGGAAAAGTTCTACATTCTTACTTCTGTTTTGGTCATGCAGTTATATACATATGTATAAATACCATCAAGCTGTATATTTGTGAGTGGTGCACTTGTAAGTTATTTATTATAAAATAAATGAAGTTATATTAAAAGAAGCTATGGTGATCAGGAAAATCATTAAAATGTTGTTTATAAGCTTTGGCAGTTAAAGAAGACTAACTTTGGCAGGTGAGGAAAAGATGGAACTATAATATTGGACAATGGCAATAAAAAAGGTGGAAGAGAAGAGATTGGATTATAAGGGGTTCAAGTTATTGTATTGATCAGAGAAGTATATATGTATTGATGAACCAGATTATGTCTGTTGTGTAGTTAAAACTTTCAGGTTAAAGGTACATAAATAGAATGTGCAATGTCTTAAACAATAGATGGGAAAATGAAGAGAATGAAGAAAATGTGATTTAATAGAATGCAGGGAGGGGGAGGAAAGTGGGACAAGAATAACAACATAGTACATAGAAGACATACAGTCAGATGGTAGAATAAATCCAAATGTATCAGAATGAAAATAAATAAATGGATAAAAGCCATCTGTTAAAAGACAGAGATTGTTAGATTGGCTGTTCTCTTCAATTCTGAAGAATGCCTGTCTGTAACTTATAAATAATAGATTATTTGAAACATACTTGTATTAACATTAAATATTTAGTTTGTAACCTTAAATAAACAACAGATTTTGTGTCAACAGACAATAACTCCTTTTTCCTTTTTCTTGTAGTCTGATCTCAGCCATGAAATGGAATCTGATATGATAGATGTGGTAAGTGGCCTTTTAAGATTTTGTTTTATCCAATAAAATATTTTATAACCACTACATTCTTCTTGATACTACAGTACTAAATAATTATATCTCCTTTAGTGCTCATAGTAAAACTAAAGAGATGTACATATGTAGCTAATGATTAAAGCAAATTTTGGTTTATTCTTTTGTAACAAAGAAACAAATTGTATGAAACAAGGAAAACAATTAAATGTGTCTTACAGAAGATAATATTTTACAGTATGAGATAAAAAATAAACCATGAACCCAGTGAAGGAGGTACACTATAATGGGAAAATGTGAGCAGTAGTTTTTTTTAACATATTCTGAAGAAAAATAAAAAGTCCCTTTATTTACATTTCTAATTTGGAACACTCTTCCCCTAAGAAATAATTTTCTATGTAAAACTTGTGTTTGGCAGAGGCTATAACTGCTCTTTGGGGTTATTAATTACCTAAGAGAACAGGCCTGAATATACTTTATAAGTCAAAATTCTTTGAGATGATTTGTTGGCACAGAGAAATTTATCTTTATAAAAATGCTGCTGTTGGGAAAATAGTTTTTTCCTACCAACAGATCTTGAGCTTACACCCATTGCCTTGGGTATGCATGTGCACCCTTTGTTTAGAAAAATAATTTGATAAAGCTCTATAGACTTACAAGATTTCCTGACATATTTTAGATGTGGATGATACAGTTAGAAATTTAATTTACTATATGCATCCCTTTCTACACCAAGCTAGTATTCATTTGAAGGAAGTTTAAGAGGCTGAAACACTCATATAATTGTAGAAGTCTTAAGAGTGTTTTGTTTCGTTTCTTTATTGTTTTGTCCATTGCTTACCAAGTGTTTCATACCAAAAGAAAATATCTTATATCAATTTCATTTTTAACATAGTATTGTATATGGGAGAGAAGACCTCTTTGCCTTAGAAACTATCTCATTTTTCAGTTCGCTGATGCTTGAAAGTAATTGCTTTGGCTTTAAGCCTTGTTCATTGTCAAAATGAAAATTGTCCTGTGAGATGTTCAACGTTAAGTAACTCATGTTTTCCTTTTAACTGAAAGAAAGTTTCTTGGGTCCTTTGTGAAGGACAGAGTTTGTTAAGGGCAAGTTGAAATAAAGCATAAGACATTGAGTTCATAGAAGGGAGACTGGAGTATAAAAAGAAAAAAGAGGAAAGAGGTTACTTGACAGATTTCCTAGCAGCAGGCAACTTTGCTCTTGAAGCATTTGTTTTAGTTACATATGAGCTGAATCTGGCTTTAATAAAAATCTAGTAGCCACAAAAGTTACAGTTGAAAATGAAGTGGCTCCACATTATGTATCTGCCATAAATCATCATTGCAGTTTTCTTGTCAATTCAGAGGAGATATTGTGTTTGAAATTATTCTATTTTAAAAATCATGAAAAAGACTTTATTTCATTACATTTTTTATGCTTGTACAGACAGCAAAGTGATAGTACCTATATGTTACACAAGTTGAACAAATGTTAAGATTTTTAGAAGACTTTACTTACTAAATATGGAGAGGTAGATTTTAAAATGCTCTTTCTTAATGGTGTTTAATAAGCATACATTAATGATTACATAATGTTTTCTATATATTTTACCCTGTTTTGTACTAGCACCTTTTGCCCTCCCTTCCCGTTTTATTTTTCTTTATCCTTCACATTTTTTCTTCATAATCATTTCTATTTTTTCTTGCTCCGTTTTTCTCTCTCACTGCTGCATATAAGACCTGAAAGTAAAATGTTGATGTGAAATACAGGAAATGTTCATTGACATAGAGAATGTGCGTTTTATTCAAACATGTCAGCTTTCAAAAACTAATAAAAACAACTAAATTCTAGAGGGAGTTGTATGTGTCTGTGGCTACATTAACATTACTCAGGCTTTACAATTATAACTGTGTCTTCTCTCTAAGACATACTTCTTCAGAAATGTTATTGAAATTATGTGATGGATGGACATGAGGAAGAAAGGAAAGTCTGTCTTTCTCTACAGGGTCATGTTCTGTTTCAAATTTCTACATGCCTATTATTGGATGCTAATATTTTCTTCTCCTTAGAAAAACACAAATTGTTTACATACTATCTCAGATGTCAGTTCTGGGATCCAATTTTCAGTATACCTCAATTAACATGAATAATATTATGAAATCGCAAATTCTTAGGCTTGGAAGGCACTTTAGTTTTAGTCCAACCATAAACTCGATGTTTGAATCACCTCTCACATATTAGAGAGGGCCTAATGTGTGCCAAATATAGTGTTTGGTTCTTAACATTCATTTAATTTCATTTTATTCTCATAATGCCTACGATGTTGAAATACATTTTTCAGATGAGGACACTGAGGCTTAGAGTTTAAGTCAATTGCTCAAAGTGATACAAGTAAGTTGCACATATGGAATTTGGATTCAGGTTATTGTGACAGTAAAACTCATGTTCTTTCCTTTATGTCACACATTTGCATAGTCAATGCTTTAATACTTGCAGTTGAGGACATTCTATCCACCTTGAAACCAGATCATATACTTAGATAGTTCTTACTGTAAGAAAATCCTTTCTTGATATAAATATGTTATTCTACAGTGTTCACCCATTGTTCTTATTTCAGCTGCTAGGGGTCGAGAGAACTATAATGTAATCATTATTCCACATGACTGTTCTTCAGATATTTCAATACAGCAGTATTCTCTTCCTCAGATAAATACTCTTAGTTCCCCTTATCATTATATTTCTTCTGGTGTAAATATAGTACACGATATCCATGCTCATTTTTAATTAGGTACTCAGAACTTTATTGATTCTCAGAAATGTGGTGGCCAGCAGGGACTTTGTAACATCCCTTATTCTAAATGCTATACTCTTTTAAACGTGGCCTAAGATGGAATTTATGTTTTCTTTTAGAAATCCCCTATCACACTGTTAATGCAAGATTGTACTTTCTACCCAAATAATAAAAATAATCACAATTACATAGTATTTACTACATGCAGACACTTTTCTACGTGTTTTATATATGTTAACTGATTTAACTAAAATTCCTTTGTCATTTTTTTTGCAGCCATTGTTATTTCCCCCTGCCTGTACTTAAGTATTTGTTTTTAAAAGTTATACAGCTGGGCCTATTCAATTTCATCATTACCACTTATTCAGCTCATTTACAAGTCTAATTCATTCCCTTAACAAATATTTACTGAACACACATTATGTGCCAGGTATTGTTCAACATGCCAGAAAGAAAATAGACACAAATTTCTGCCCTCACTGCTTTTGAATCAACAAATAAATACGTGAAATACACAGAATGTCAGATGGTAATAAGTACTATAGAGATAAATAAAGTGAGGAACCAGGATCAGGTGCTCGCGGACAAGTTTGAATGTTAGGGAAAGTCCTCAATGCAAAGGTAAATTAAGCAAAGAGCTAAGGAAGGTGAGTGATCAGGCTTTGAACAATGTGGTTATCTAGTAGTGTGTTCTAAGTAGAGGATATAAAAGTCAAAGACTATAAGAGAGATTCATGCTCGATGTGTTTCAAGAATAACAAGGCAGCCAATGTGGCTGAGGAAAGGTGTAGGAGGAGGAAAGGGGCATGGAATAGAGTAATAGAAGGTGAGATCTAAGAGGAAATAGTGGCGGAACAGATTGAATAGATAGTGGGCCACTGTAAAGACTTAATTTTTTTCCCCCAATGTTTGATTATGTAAATTTTTGAACATAACAAAACGTTGAAAGAATTGTAGACATCCATATAAATACCACCTACATTCTACAAATAATATATTACTATATTTGCTTTTGTACACATCTGTCTATCCATTTCTTTATCTACCCAATAATCTATTTTATTTTTTATCATGCACTTCAAAGTTGCAGAAAACAGTATAATTTATTCCGAATACTTTAACAAACATGTCACTAATGAAACAATACTAGTTTTGGTTCAATTTTGTAGATAAATTTACAAAAATGAAATGCACCAAACTTAAGTGTCTTATAGTGTATCATTCTGTGAGTTTTGACAAATAGACACACCTGTTTAACCAAAATCCATATGAAGATATAGAATATTACTCTCACTCGAGGAAGTCCCTCATGCTCATGCTTAGCAAACCCTGATGACTCCTCCGCTACATTCCCGCCTCTTACCAGGAGGCAACCACAGTTCTGATAATTTTCCACCTCACATTAGTTTTACCAATTTTGGAAGTGGAATTTGACATAGTATGCTGTTTTGTGTGAGGCCTTTTTGACTCAACATAATGTTTTATATCAATTTTTTAATATTAGTTTTTAATTTTTTTGTTTTATACTGTTATGCAGCATCCCACTGTATGAATACACTACAGTTTATCCATTCTTTTCTATGGACCTTGTTGTTGTTTCTAGTTTAAAGCTATGGATAAAATTTCTATGAACATTTTATAATGTCTTTTTGTGGGCATATGTTTTCATTTATCTTTGGGTATATCCAGGAAAGAGATTATGGAGAAGGATGCATGTTTATATTTAGAAGAAACTTCCAAACTAATTGTATCATACCATACTCCAGTAGAAAATATAATGTGTGAAAATTCTTGTTACTCTATATTCTCACCAATATTTGGTATTGTCAGACTAAAATTTTAGTTATCCTGACGGGTATATAGTGGAATTTCATTGTAACTTTAATTTACATTTTGGTGATAATGAGATATGTTAAGCAATTTTGCATGTGCTTTTCATCCTTTCATATATTTATTAAAAACTTTTGCCCATTTTAAAAACTTTGGTTGTTTGTACTTTTATTATTGAATTGTTAGAGTTCTTTTTAGATCCTTGACATCAGTCCTTTGTCAGATATTTATTTTACAAAAATTTTCTCCCAATATTGAGATTGCTTATTTATATTCTTAATGGAGCCTCTTAATTTTTAAATTCTGTGAGTACATTGTAGGTGTACATATTATGGGGTACATGTACTATTTTGATACAGGCATGCAATGTGAAATAAACACATCATGAAGAATGGGGTATCCATCCTATTGAGCATGTATCTATTAAGTTTAAACATTCCAATTACTCTCTTTATTTTAAAATACATAGTTATTATTAACTATAGTCACTCCATTGTGCTATCAATAGTAGGTTGTCTTCATTCTTTCTAACTTTTTGTACCCATTAGCCATTCACACCTCCTGCCCAGCCCCCTACTATTCTTCCTAGCTTCTGGTAGCCATTCTCCTACTTTCTATGTCCATTAGTTTAATTGTTTTTATTTGTAGATTCAAAAAATAAGTAAGAAAGTGTGATGTTTGCCTTTCTGTGCCTGGCTTATTTCATGTAACACAATGATCTCCAGTTCCATCCATGTTGCGGCAAATGACTGGATTGCATTCTTTTCTTATGGCTGTATGAATAGTAAACCATTGTGTATATGAACCGCATTTTCTTTATCCGGTCTTCTGTTGATGGACACTTAGTTTGCTTCCAAATCTTAGCTACTGTGAATAGTACTGCAACAAACATAGAAGTGCAGATATATCTTGATATAACAATTTCCTTTCTTTTTGATATATACCCAGCAGTGGGATTTCCTGATCATATGATAGCTCAATTTTTAGTTTATTGAGGAACCGCCAAACTGTTCTTCATAGTGGTTGTACTTATATTCCCAACAAGAGTGTACAAGGGTTCGCTTTTCTCCACATCATCACCAGCATTTGTTACTGTCTGTCTTTGGATATAAGCCATTTTAATTTGGGTGTTAAGATATTGCATTATAGTTTTTATTTGCCTTTCCCTGATGATCAATGACATTGAGTAGCTTTTCATATGACTTTTTCATTTATATGTCTTCTTATAAGAAATGCCTATTCAAATCTTTAGCCCATGATTTGATTGGATTATTAGATATTTTCTTACAGAATTGTTTGAGATCCTTATATATTCTGGTTATTAAAGTCTTGTCTGATGGGTAGTTTGCAAATATTTTTCTTTCATTCTATGGGTTGTTTCTTCTCTTTGTTAATTGCATTTTTTGCTGTGAAGAAGCTTTTTAACTTGATGTGATACCATTAGTCCATTTTTTTTTCTTTGCTTGCCTATGCTTGTGGAGTATTACTCGAGAAATTTTGCCCAGACCAATGTTTTGGAGAGTTTTCCCAATGTTTCCTATTAGCAATTTTATAGTATTAAGTCTTAGATTTAAGTCTTTAATCCATTTTGATTTGATTTATGTGTATGGCAAAAGATAGGAGTCTAGTTTTATTCTTTGGCATATGGATATCCAGGTTTCTCAGCACCATATACTGAAAAGACTATAGCTTCCTCAGTGTATGTTCTTGGTACCTTTGTCGAAAATGAGTTCTCTGTAGGTGTGTGGATTTGTTTCTGGGTTTCTATTCTATTGGTCTATGTGTCTGTTTTTACGCCAGTACCATGCCATTTTGATTACTATAGCGCCATAGTATAATATGAAGTCAGGTAATGTGATTACTCCTATTTTGTTCTTTTGCTTAGTATAGCTTTAGCTATTCTGGGACTTTCGTGGTTCCATGTAAATTTTAGAGTTTTTTCTATTTCTGTAAAGAATGATATTGGTATTTTCATAGGTATTGAATCTGTAGAATGCTGTGCATAGTACAGACATTTTAACAATGTTGATTATACCAATCTATGAACATGGAATATTGTTTCATTTCTGGTGTTCTCTTCAATTGTTTTTCATCATCATTTTATAGTTTTTATCATAGAGACCTTTCACTTTATTGGTTAATTCCTAGGTATTTAATTTTACATGTGGCTATTGTAAATGGAATTATCTTTTATTTCTTTTTCACATTGTTGACTGCTTTAATATAGAAATGCTACTGATTTTTTATGCCAATTTTGTATTCTGCAACTTTACTGAATTTGTTTATCATTTCTAACAGTTTTCTTGTGTAGTCTTTAGGTTTTTTCCAAATATGAGATGATATCATCTGCAAACCAGGATAACTTGTCTTCTTCCTTTCCAATTTGGATGTCCTTCATATCTTTCTATTGTCTAATTGCTCTAGCTAAGACTTTCAGTGCTATGTTGAAAAACAGTAGTGACCATGGATATCCTTGTTGTCTCTCAGGTCTTAGAGAAAAGTTTTTCAATTTTTGCCATTAAATATGATACTAGCTGTGATTCTGTCATATATAGCTTTTATTTTGTTGAAGTATGTTCCTTCCATTCCAAGGTTTTTGGGGATATTTATCATGAAGCCATGTTTAATTTTATCAAGTGCATTTTTAGCATCAATTCAAACGATCATATGGCTTTTACCCTTTATTCTATTAATATGATGTATAACACTGATTGATCTGCATATGTTGAACTATCCTTTTATCCTGGGATAAATTCCATTTGGTCATAATAAATGATTTTTCTAATGTATTTTTAATTAGTTTGCTAGTATTTTGTTGAGGATTTTTGCATTAATTTTCTTCAGAGATATTGGCCTGTTTCCTTTTCTTGATGTATCTTTGTCTGATTTTGGTATCAGGGTAATACTGGCTTGGTAGAATGAGTCTGAAAGTATGTTCTGCCCCTCTGTCTTTTGAAATAGATTGAGTGAATTGTTGTTCATACTTCTTTAAATTTAGAATTCAGCAGTGAAACCACTGGGTCTTGGGCTTTTCCTTAATGGGAGACTATTTATTATGGCTTTGATATCATTTCTTGTTATCAGCATATTCCAGTTTGGGATTTCTTCCTGGTTCAATCTTGGTAGGTTGAATGAATCTAGAAATTTATTTCTTCTAGATATTCCAGTGTATTAACATAGAGTTGCTCATAGTAGCCAATAATGATCCTTTCAATTGCTGCAATATCACTTAAAACATCTCCTTTTAAAATTTCTCATTATATTTATTTGGATCTTCCTTTTATTGTTCTTAGTCTGGTTAAAGGGTCGTCAGTTTTGTCTAACTTTTCAAAAACCAAACTTTTTGTTTCATTGGTCTTTTGTATTTTTTTCCATTTTAATTTTTTTGATTTTTGCTCTGATATATATTTTTTTCTTCTACTAATTTTGGGTTTGGTTGGCTCTTGCTTATCTGGTTCTTTAAGATGCATTCTTAAATTGTTTATTTAAAGTTCTTTCTCTTTTTTGATGTAGATACTTGTAAACCTTTCCCTGAGTACTGTTTTTGCTGTATCCTATAGGTTTTCGTATTTTGTATTTCCATTATTTGTTTCAATAATTTTATTTATTTATTTATTTATTTTGAGATGGAGTCTTGCTCTGTCACCCAGGCTGGAATGCAGTGGCACGATTTCGGCTCACTGCAACCTCCACCTCCCGGGTTCAAGCAATTCTCCTGCCTCAGCCTCCCGGGTAGCTGGGACTACAGGCACATGCCACCACACCTGGGTAATTTTTGTATTTTTAGTAGAGACAGGGTTTCACCATGTTGGCCAGGCTGGTCTTGAACTCCTGACCTCAAATGATCCACCCGCCTCAGCCTCCCAAAGAGCTGGGATTACAGGCGTGAGCCACCATGCCCGGCTTTTCAAGAAATTTTTTACCTTTCTTCTGAGTTTCTTCATTGACCCACTGGTCATTCAGGAGCATATTGTTTAATTTGTATGTATTTGTATAGTTTTCAAAATTCCTCTTGTTATTAATCCCAAATTTTATTGCATTGTGGTCAAAGAAAATGCTAGATATTATGTCAAGTTCTTGAATGTTTTAAGGCTTGTTTTGTGTCTTAACATATGGTCTATAATTGAGAATAATCTATGTGCTGCAGAAAAAAAAATGTGCATTCTATAGATCCTGGATGAAATGTTCTGTAAATATCTATTAGATCCATTTGTTCTATAGTGAAGATTAACTCTGATGTTTCTTTCTTGATTTTCTGTCTGAAAGATTTGTCTAATGCTGAAAGTAGAGTGTTAAAGACATTTGAACTGAGGCCTACATCTCTATTATATGGTATCTCTTTACATATCTCGGGACTCCAGTGTTGGGTGCATATATATTTAAAATTATGATATCCTCTTGCAGAATTGACCCCATATTATTATATAGTGACCTTGTTTGTCTCTTATAGTTTTTGTCTTGAAATCCATTTTGTCTGTTATAAGCATAGTAAGGCCTGCTCCTTATTTATTTATTTTTTTTGGTTTCCATTGGCATTGAATATCTTTTCCATCTTTTTATTTTCAGCCTATTTGTGTCTTTATATGTGAAGTGTGTTTCTTGTCAGTGACAGATCAATGGGTCTTGTTTTTTTACCTACTCAGCTACTGTAAATCTTTTGATTGTAGAGTTTAGTCCATCTACATTCAATGTTGTTATTGATAAGAAAAGACTTAATTATGCCATATTGTTATTTGTTTTCTGGTTGATTTGTGATCTTTTTCTTCTTTTTTCCTTCCTGTTTTCCTTTAATACAAGTGATTTTTTTAGTGATTGGATTTAATGTCTTTGTGTGTGTGCGTGTGTGTGTGTGTGTGTGTGTGTGTGTTTATCCATTGTATATTTTTTTTGTTTCAGGTTACCATGAGGCTTGGAAATACTATGTTACAATCCATTACTTTAACCTGATAATAACTTAACACTCTACATAAACAAACAAGCAAAAAGAAAACTAATAAAACTTGCATTCACTTTATCCCCCTTTTTAGCTTTTTGCTGTTTCTATTTGTGTCTTATTGTACTATGTCTTGAACAGTTGTAGTTATTATTTTTAATTGTTTCATCATTTAGTCTTTCTACTTAGGATAAGAATAGTTTACACAGAATAGTTACAGTGTTATAATATTCTGTGTTTTTCTGTGTACCTACTATTAACAGTAAGTTTTGCACATTCAGGTGATTATTTATTTCTCCTTAATGTCCTTTACTTTCTGATTAAAGTACTCCCTTTAGTATTTCTTGTAGGATGGGTCTGGTATTGATAAACTCCCTCAGCTTTTGTTTGTCTGGAAATGACTTTATTTTTCCTGCATGTTTTAAAGATATTTTCAAGTGATATACTATTTTAAAGTAAAAGGATTTTTTTTCAGCACTTTAAATATGCCATGCCACTCTCTCCTGGCCTGTAATGTTTCCACTAAAAACTCTGCTGCCAGATGTATTGGAGCTTCATAGTGGGTTATTTGTTTTTTTTCTCTTGCTGCTTTAATATCCTTTCTTTATTTTGATCTCTGAGAGTTTGACCATGAAATGCCTTGAGGCAGTCTTCTTTGGGTCAAATCTGCCTGATTTTCTATAACCTTCTTGCATTTAAATTTTGATATTTTTCTCTAGATTTTGTAAGTCCCTTGTTATTATCCTTTTGGATAAACATGCTACGCTACACCTACCTTTTTCTCTACCTCCTCTATATGGGCAATAACTCTTAGATATGCCCTTTTTTGACTATTTTTTAGATCCTGTGGGCATGCTTTATTATTTTTATTCTTTTTTTCTTTTGTCTCCTATGACTGTGTATTTTCAAATAGCCTGGTTTTAAGTTCAGTAATTTTTGTTTCTGCATGATCCATTCTGTTATTAAAGGATTCTGATGCATTTTTCAGTATGCCAATTGCATTTTCAGCTCCAGAATTTTTGTTTGATTCTTTCTAATTATTTTAATCTTTTTGTTAAATTTAACTGATAGAATTCTGAATTTTTTCTCTGTGTTATCTTGAATTTATTTGAGTTTTCTCAACACAGCTACTTTGAATTCTCTATCTCAAAGGTCACATATCATTGGATTTGTCTCTGGTGGCTTATTTAGTTCATTTGGTGAGGTCACGTTTTCCTGGATGGTGTTGATACACTAGTAGATGTTCTTTGGTGTCTGGGCATTGAAGAAATTGGTATTTATTTTAGTCTTCACTCTCTGGGCTTATTTGTAATTATCCTTCATAGTAAGGCTTTCCAGATATTTGAAAGGACTTGGTTGTTGTGATCTAAGATATTTTTGCTTTAAGGGGAACTCCATTATCATTAGAATATGATTGTTGCAGATTCATAGAGGTACTACCTTAATAGTCTTGGACAAAATTCAAGAAAGTCCTCTGGATTGCCAGGCAGAAATTCTTGTTCTTTTTTTTCCATTGTCCAAAACCAACAAAGTGTCTCTGTTTTTTTCTGAGTTCCTAAATCTAGATGTGGAGTGACACAAGCACTCCTGTGACCACAACCACTATGAATTGACTGAAATAGACCTAAGCCAGCACAGCAATTGGTCTCATCTAAGTCCTGCTATAACCACTTCCCACTGCCTATGTTTGCTCAAGGCCCAGGTGCTCTACAATCATCAGGTGGCAAAGCCAACCAGGCCTGTGTATTTTCCTTCAGGGCAGTGAAGTCTTCCAGGCTCCAAGTGATCCAGAAGTGCCATCTGGGTGTCAAGGACTAGAGTCAAAAACCTTAGAAGTCTACCTTGTATTCTATTGAATTGTGGCTGAGCTGGCACTCAAACCACAATATACAATCCTTCTCACTTTTTGCTCCTGTTTTCAAAGGCAGAAGAGCCTCACCCCATAGCCATAGCCACCCCTGGCTATGAGGAGTACTGCCCAACTAGCACTGATATTTCCTTAAGTCACAAGGTCTTTTCAATTGTTTGGAATAGTTTCAGTATAAATGGTACAGGTTCCTTTTTGTACCTCTGGTGAGAAACCTGTATTTAAGAGCACCTGTCAGAGTCCTATAGTTTGTTATAAACCATCTTTTGAAAAGGATTAAACCAAGACAAAAATTGTCTGTGAATTACAATATGTCCAGGGTAGTTACAGTTAGAAATACAATTGACAAAGTAGTTTGGTTATTTCCATGGTTTACAATAACTTAACATAATAAACTTAATTATGATTAATAGAATATACGTAGACATTAGAATTTCAGAAATCCTGTACAATTTTGGACCATATTAGTATTATTCACCAAAATATAACTTAAAGTAGATTGTACACTATTTTGGTAATCTCATATAACTAAATATGTCAAATAATCCTGTTTTTCTCTCTTCTAGAGGCTCCAGGGGCCCTCCAAAGCCTTCAAAAAGACAGGTGTCAAGAAAGATGATTTTGAACCTACAGTTTTATTTTGGGAATCATGTTAAATATGTTGGAAATTTAAAACACTTGATGCTATGAAATAGAATTCCAGATTACCATAATTATTTATTTTGCAAAATGATGACTCAAGAACATAAAAAGCAGAAATCCCTTTTATAACCCTTTACAAATTTTGCCAAAGTGCAGATTAGTGCCTTAAGAGCACTTTGTTGTGCTTTTTTGTGCACTTTGTTGTGCTTAAGAGCACTTTGTTGTGATTTTATTTTAATGCTCAATTTACAGAAAAACCATATAATACCTTTTCTGAATTTAGTCAATATGTTCACACACAGAAATTTTGCAAGATTAAATTTTACAATCCTTCCATCCCTTGTTTTAACTTTTAGCTTTATTTTATCTAATTTAAAACAATTATTTAACCCTAGGCAATTATTTATATTTTTATGCCTTTCTATAATTTTTTACTAAAAACAGATTTTACTATTCTTATACATGTTGCATGTAAATCTATTTCCAGTAATTTCAATTACATGTTATAATGGTAACTCCTAGCAATTTTTAATTTGAATGTAAAACCTGGTAAGTTGTTTTGATTATGTGCTAACTTCATCCAAGGTTTGACTCCTCCCAGCACAATTAGGGGCATGGTTAATTCCATATGTCCCCAGGCCTTACCAGGTTGAACAGTTCTCAAAAATGAAGTAGCAGTTTATAACCTCAAAAGACTTAGCAAACCTTGGATCTGACCATATATTAGTCCACCTATTTATATTTTGATGTTATCTGCATTTTACCAATAGTGTTTAAGGCTGTTTTTATTTCTCAGAGATTAAAGTCATGTGAACTGAAAGGTACCACAGCTTTTATCTTCCCTCTAAAAAAACATTTGATTCAAGCATCCAAGCGCTTATCTTCATTTAGGCCAATTAATTAGAGCTCTTTTTATAGACATCACACACATGATACATATATAACTACACAGACAGGCAGAACAAAACCCAGTTACCACAAGATCCTTTATTTGCCAATCTCCTATTTGGACCATTGGCCTTTTGGTGCTTTTAATTCCTGGGGTCCCATGCGAAAAACAGAGGACTCTCCACTCTCATGTGTTCATTAAAAGTGCCAAGGAAAAATGGAGAAAAATAATTCAGTTGACTGAAAAAAACCCTCTTTTTTCCACCAAAACAAGGTCCAAGAAAGGAAAAACATAAAGGCCTTTTAAATATAACTATAACTTGGATATCCACTTTTAATTAATCTGAGCACTCCTTAAGAAAATCCTTTTAACTCCCTTATCACTTGACAAACGGCCAATATTTCTGGCTTTCGAACTTTACTAAATATTCAGAGAAAAGAAAATCCAATGCAGTTTGTGGAGGGGAAGGGAATCAACAAATAGCAAAAGGTCATGCAGATATAAAATCAGAAAGGGCACATTTCTGAAGTCAGGATTGAATCCCTGGCTGTGCAGAGGCTAAACAAAGCCTAGACATAGGGTTACAGTCCACTCCCCCAGGACATAAAACAAGATGGAGCCCTGAAGCGAAGTTTGCTACAGACGGTACAGAAAGACGTGCAAAACACACCAGATTGGCTACAGCTTAAAACCAGCCTCATAAATCCTTTTTCATAATTAAAACTCTACAGACAATATAAATAGTAATACTCCACATCATTTCTGGCCCAGAAAAATGTCTTCCAAAAGGGGGAAAAAAAAGTCACTTAAAAGTTACCTCCTGAGAGGGTAAAGGATTCCTGAGGAAAGAACCTCTTATTCTTATGCAAGTGGTTCCTCCACCAGGGAGAAAAGTTTAATTGCTGTAGAATGGAGCAGAACTCTTTGGCTGGGAGAGGGGGAGACTCCATGAGGGCCTGGCGGGGAACTCCAGCTAGCCGTGCAGGGCCCTTGGGCCATTTGTCCCAACCTGGTCAGGAAGAGGAGAGTGACTGCTCACCTGTCTGTCCCAAAAAAGGAAGGAAAAGGCCATGGAAAGGCTGGGTTGGACTGAAACCAACATTTCTGACACCCAGGAGCAATAGGGGATGGGGCACAGTTGCCTCTACCCTCCGAAGAAATCCGCGGGACCCGAAGCTTAGGAGCAAAAGAGAGAAAGGTTTTTTTGGTTTGCATCTCACTCACCCTTCCCCCAGCCCCACATTGCACACCAAAATGTAGGAAAATCTAAGTTCTTGTCACACAAACAGGAAAGATTACACTTACAGATGCTTTTAAGGGTAAGGGAAAACAGAATTTATTGGATGAAAAAAAGAAAAAGTGAAAAAGTTTCAGCAGAGTGAGGTGGAAGCCTGTTAACTGTCTCCTGCTCCACCATACAGGAGCTCAAGAGGCCAGCTCCTCCCCTCTGCAAATTTATGGCATGAATTTCCATGGTTCTGCTTTATTCTCCCAGTGCACAGGACCTGCAGGGATCCTGTGGGGACCCCTTTATAATTGACTATCTCACAAGCATCTGATCTTCAATAAGCTTGACAAAAACAAGCAATGGGGAAATTATTCCCTATTTAATAAATAGTTCTGGGAGAACTGGCTAGCCATATGCAGAAAATTGAAACTGGAACCCTTCCGTACACCTTATACAAAAATCAACTGAAGATTGATTAAAGGCTGAAATGTAAAACCCAAAACCCAGCAGGAAAATCTAGGCAATACCATTCAAGACATATGCACAGGCAAAGATTTTAAGACAAAAACACCAAAAGCAATTGGATAAAAGAAAGAATTGACAAACGGGGTCTAATTAAACTAAAGAGCTTCTGCACAGCGTAAGAAACTATCATCAGAGACAATCTACAAGATGGGAGAAAATTTTTTAATCGATCTATCTGACAAAGGTCTAATGTCCAGGATCTATAAGAAACCCAAACAAATTTACAAGAACAACAACAAAACCATCAAAAGTGGGCAAAGGACATTAGCAGATATTTCTCAAAAGAAGACATACATATGGCCACCAAACCTATGAAAAAAAGCTCAACATCACAGATCATGAGAGAAATACAAATCAAAACCACAGTGGGATACCATTTCACACCAGGCATAATAGCTATTATTAAAAAGTCAAAAAACAACAGACGCTGGCAAGGTTGTGGAGAAAAAGGAGCTCTTTTACACTTGATGAGAGTATAAATTAGTTTACCATTGTGGAAGACAGTGTGGTGATTCCTCAAAGACCTAGAAGCGGAAATACCATTTGACCCAACAATTTCATTACTGGATATATACCCAAAGGAATATAAATCATTATATTATAAAGATACATGCACATGTATGTTCATTGCAGCACTATCCACAATAGCAAAGATGGAGAATCAACTAAATGCCCATCAATTATAGACTGGATGAAGAAAATGTCATATATATACACCAGAGAATACTATACAGCCATAAAAAGGAGTGAGATCATGTCCTTTGCAGGGACATGGATGAAGTTGGAAGCCATTATCCTCAGCAAACTAACACAGGAACAGAGAATCAAACATTGCATGGTCTCACTTATGAGTGGGAGCTGAATGATGAGAACACATGGACAAATAAGGCAGAACAACACACACTGGGGCACATCAGATGAGGGTTTTGAGGGGAGGGAGAGCATGAGGAAGAATAGCTAATGGATGTTGGGCTTAATACCTAGGTAACGTGATGTTTCATGTGACAAACCACCATGGCACATGTTTAACTGTATAACAAACCTGCACATCCTGCACCTGTACCTTTGAACTTAAAATAAAATTTTAAGAAAAATAAGTAAATTTGAAAAAATTCAAAAAAGAATTACTCATTTGGAATAAAATATTAGCCTTTAGACAGACTCCATTGATATCGTACATTTTAACTCATTGTACAATATGTAGTAATACATTGAATCATTATTTTCTGATAACACATTAGCACCACTTAGTCAAGGATTTTGCTTATTTCTAATTGTTTGGAGTTAGGGTAGAATGGAGCAGAGGAAGACATAGTAGGTAGGTGTAGCCTGGAAACAATCCTGGGAATGTAATCAAGTATATAATAGTTCCCAATTTGATCCCAATATGGAAGCAACTATGAAGTAAGGTTTCTACCACAATTGGAAAATCATTTTCTCTCCTTGTCTCTTATTTTCCCTAGTGCTTTGTTCTGAGGTACATGAAAGAGCTTTGTAGAGGAGGAAGGAGTGTATTGTTCTTTAATTATCATTGAATAATACCACCATATTAATTCTAGAGTAAAATGCACTGTCAATTCCCAAAGAATTTACTATGCATGTGACAGTGGCATTTTGCAGGTGGTGCCTGGTATTTTAAATATTTATGTAATCCATTTTATTCAATCTCTGTCATCCTATATTTCCCAACCAAATATTATTTTTTGATTATTGTTAATTCATAAAATGCATTTTCTTTTCCAAAGTTTTGCTCTTAGGAGTAAATGAATAATCCATCTTTTGAATTGGAAGAAATAGTAGACACATCTGCATCACAAACTTGATTTAAAAATGCAGTTGGATTGTAACCTACCTGACAGTTTTTGTGACAGAGAACAGGTAGGTAAGAGCAAAAAAAAAAATAGCAAAGTTCATCTTTTATTTGATAATAAGTAATTTCAAGTAATTGTCAGATTCCAGTGAAAAACAACAGCTGCACAAATGCCTATTAGGTCTCAAAAGCTTTGTTGGTGTTGCCTTTCCTAAAGATAATATCAGCTATTACCTATAGAGCTCTTACCACAAGCCAGCCACTATTCTAATTACTGTTCATACTCATTTAATTTTCATGATAATTCTATGACATAGTTGCTTATAATTATTTCCATTTTACAGATGAGGTTTCTGAGGCACAAAGAGATAAATTAACTTGTCCAAATTCACACTGCTAGTTACTGATGGAACTGAGACTGGCTTCAGAATCTGTACTTTTAGCTACTGTACTCCACTTCCTCTCTTTTTATAGCAATCCTATTTATTAAAATCAGCTATCATTTTAAAGATTAGTCTGATTTTTAGTTGGGCATTTGCCTTACCTCTTAACCCAAATTAATGTGATATTCTCTCCAAATTAGAATTCCCTTGATTTGAGATAATTTATATGAAGATGGAGAAACAATTAGAGTGGGAAGACAAAGGAAAAGATAAAATATTTTACAGAGGGTAGAGATTTAATAATATCAGAAGATGAAAGCAAAATATGACTTTCTATGGTGTTGTAAATATTTATACTTCAGCAGGTACTGAGTTATTATTATAGTTGATTAATGAAAATCTTATAAGACTAAAAGACTGGAAAATTGATTTTTATATCAAATGTGTTGAGGAATGTGCTATTTCATGAAACTTTGAAACAAATGCTTGTTCTTACAGGTAATGTTTTTAGTTTAAACTTTACTTATCTTTTTTGATTAGAAAGTATGTGTGCTAAAATTGCACCTTCAGGATTACATTTAGAATATCAAAAGGCAGTTTAGTATTTTGAATATTCAATAGGCTCTATTTTACGTAATGTTTCTCAGTAAGTTTTCAGATGTATATAGGAAGATTAAAATAATAAAATAGATCCTTCTTGCATTGAAGTGAATTAATAATAAGATTCTTTTTGAACCACTGAAGATCTTGATGCCTGTAATGTGGCAAGATTGTGGCACATAATAAGTTGTGATAGCTTTAGAAATTAAGATGTCATTTGAGTGACATGAATGATAAATTAGGATCACCACAGAAAGAAATATAATTGTGCCCAAGAACATCCATTATCTGAAAAAATAGTTTTAATATAGAAGGGGGAAATTAAATAACTTTGTAAAACAACTTCAAGGTTTTTGTTCATAGAAAGGTAATATATAACTTTAATTTCCTTCATATTTTTAATATATCTTTTAAATAAGTAAAACGATATTTTGTTACTTTGTATGTTTTAACATTTTTATTAAGATGGAAACCACATATTATAAAATTCATTGATACAAAGTACTGAGTTCAGTGGGTTTTAGTATATTCACACAGCTGTACAACCATCACCACAATATAATTTTAAAACATTTTGTTTACCCTAAAGTGAAATGCCATATCTAATATGTAGCCATATAACATTATGTTTCCTAAGTGTCCATTAATGGATAATTTGATTAAAGAATGTGGTGTATATACACAATGGGATACTATTCAGCCATAAAATAAATGAAATAATGTCTCTTACAGCAATATGGGTGGAAATGTAGGCTATGAAATGAAGTCAGACAGAAAGAAAAATGGCACATTTCTCACTTATAAATGAGAGCTAAATAATGCACACACATGGACGTAGAGTGTGGAATGATAGACAGTGGATATTCAGAAGGGTGATGGGATGGAAGAGGTGAATGATAAGAAATTACTTAACGGGTACAATATACATTATTTGGGTAGTGGATATGCTGAATACTCTGACTTCACCACTATTCAGTCTATGCATATAATAAAATTGTGCTTGTATTCCATAAATTTATTTAAATTAAAAATTATGTTACCTTTTGTGACTGGCTTCTTTCACGTAGCATAATGTTTTTAATATTCATTTATTTTGTTGTATGGATTAATACTTTTAGTCCTTTTATTGTTGAATAATAATCCATTGTATTAAGCATGGATATACAACATTTTGTTTTTCCATTCATCTGTTGGTGGATATTTACGTTGTTCCATTTTTAAGTTATTTTTAATAATACTGTTATTAACACTTACGTGCAAGATTTTGTGTGCCTATACATTTTTATTTTATTGTGCTATAGAGCTAGTAATGAATTGCTGGATCATATGGAAAATATGTTTGACATTTTGAGGAACTGCAAAACTGTTTTCTTTAAGTGGCTACATCATTTTACATTTCCATAAGCAATGTATGAGGGTTCCAACTTCTCTACATTATTGCTAACACTGGTTATTATTATTCTTTTATTTAGTAGTCACGCTAATATTGTGGAGTTGTATGTCATTGTCATTTTGATTTGCATTTCCTTAGTGATTAATAATTTTGAGCATCTTTTCATGTGCTTATTTGCCATTTGTATGTCCATTCAATCTCCTGCACAATTTTAAATTGTGCTATTTGTCTTTTGGTTATTGTGTTATAGCAGTCTTTTATCTATCTTGGATACAAGTTACGTACTTTGGATATGATTTGAAAAGATTTTTTCTTGTAGTATGTGAGTTGTCTTTTCACTTTTTAATGTGTGCTCTCAAACACAAATTTTTAATTTGATGTAGTCCAATTTTTCTCCTGTTACTGTTATCACTTGTCTTTCTGGTGTTATACTTAAGAAGGAAGGCCAACCCAGCAAATATTTACGCCTATGTTTTCTTCTAGAAATTTATAGTCTTAGCTCTTTCATTAACTCTACCATCTATTTTGAGTTAATTTTTGTAATAGTGAGAGACAATTTTTCAAATTTATGCTTTTGCATGATGATATTAATTGTCCCAGCACCATTTACTGAAAAAACATTATTTCCTTTTTGAAATGTATGAGCACCCTTGTTGAAAACCTATTAATGATATATTTTCAAAGGGTTTACTTCTGGACACTCAATTCTTCCAGTGATCCATTTGTCTTTTCTTATTATAGTGATATGCTGACTTGATTATCCTAGCTTTGCAATAAATTTTTAAACCATGGAGTATGAGTCCCCTGAGGCCTTCAAATTTGTTATTTTTAAATATCGTTTTAGACTATTTCAAGCCTCTTACATTTCCTTATGAGTTTGGGTTTTGTAAAAGTTTTATTTTCAATTGACACATAATAATGGGGTACAGTGTGATATTTTGATGCATATATACATTATGTAATAAGCATATACTTCATCTCAAAGATTTATTATATTTTTGTAATAAGAATATTCAAAATCATTTATTTGACTTATTTTGCAATATATGTTATTGTTAACTGTAGTCACTCTAATTTCTGATAGAATATCAGAACTTACCCTTCTATCTAACTGTAACTTTGTACCCATTGATTAACTTCTTTCCTCCCCAGACTTTGGTAATCACTATTTTTAATTCTGTGAGGTCAACTTTTTTAGAGTCCACATAGGAGTGAGATCAGGTGGTATTTGTCATTCTTTGTTTTCCTTATTTTATTTAACATAATGTCCTCTATGTTCATCCATGTTGTCACAAATGACAGAATTTTTTTATTTTTAGCTTTATAATATTATATTATTTAAATATACCACAACTTATTTATTTATTTATCCTTTGAGTAGCGTGCAGGTTAATTCCATATCTTGAATATTGCAAATAATCCTGCAATAAACCTGGGAGTGCAGATTTCACTTCAATATATTGATTTCATTTCCTTTGGATATGTACCTAGCAGTGAGATTGTTGGATCATATGGTACTTCTATTTTTAATATTTTTAGGAATGTTAATACTATTTTCCATAATGGCTGTATTAATTTACATTTCCACCAACAGTTTCCCTTTTCTCCACATCCTTCCCAAAACAAATCTCTTTATTTTACTTTTTGAAAATAGCCATTCTAAATGGAGTAAGATGATATCTCATTGTGGTTTAATTTCCATTTTTGTGATAATTAGTGACATAAAGCATGTTTTCATGCACCTGATGGTCATTTGCATGTCTTCCTTTGAAAAACATCTTCAGAATTTGTGCCCATTTTTAGTAGGGTTGTTTGTTTTTTGCTGTTGTGTTCTTGGAGTTCCTCGTGTATTCTGGATATTAACATATTGTCAGATGTATAGCTTCCAAATATTTTCTCCCATTATGTAGGTTGTCTCTTTTCTCCATTGTTTCCTTTGCTGTGGATTAGTTTCTTAATTTGATGTAATCCCATTTGTCTCATGTTTGCCTTTGTTGCCTGTGCTTTTGATATCTTATCCAAAATATCCTTGACCACACTAACATCATGAAGCATTTGCCCTCAGTTTCCTTCTATTAAGTTCACAGTTCTGGGTCTTTCATTTAAGTCTTTAATCCATTTGGGGTTGCTTTTTGTTTGTCGTTCAAGATAATGTTCCAATTTCATTTTCGTGTGTGTGAATATTCAGTTTTCCCAGCACCATTTACTGAAGAAACTGCCCTTTCCCCAGTGTGTGCTTCTGGCATCTTTACTGAGAATCAGTTGGATGCAGATGCATGGAATTATTTTGTTCAGTTTATCCATGTGTTTGGCTTTATGCCTGTGGCATGCTGCTTTGGTTACTTTGTAGTATATTTTGAAGTTAGGTAGTGTTATGCTTATAGCTTCATAATTTTTGCTTAATTGCTTTGGCTATTGAAAGTATTTTGTGGTTCTAAATGAATTGTAGAATGTTTTTTGCTATTTCTTTGATGAATGTTATTGATATTTTGATAGAGATTGCATTGAGTCTGTACATCACTTTGGGTCATTGGTACATTTTAACGATAATATTTATCTCTATTCAAGGGCACAGGATATCTTTTTATTTATTTATGCCTTCAATTTTTTGTCAGTGATTTATACATTTTAGTGGAGTGACCTCTCACCTTCTTGGTTAAATTTATTTCTAAGTATCTTATATTTTTATAGCTATTATTTTGACTCTGCTTATTTTATGTTTAAATGTTAAACATCTTTATTGAGGTATAGTTGATGTACAATAAACTGCATATATTAAAGTATACAATTTGTTAAGTTTTGACATCCATCACCACAATTAAGGTAATGAACAAATATAGCACCACCAAAAGTTTCCTCATGTCCCTTGTATTTTCTAGAGTTTTATATAAATGGAATCATAGGTTAAATACTCGTTTTTTTTCCAGTATCATCTACTTAATTTAATTATTTTGAGATTCATCTATGGTATTTTGTATATCAATAGTTCATTCCTTCTTAAGTTCAAAAGTTTACATTTAAAGTTCAATAACATTGACCTTTATAAATAAATTTAGAGTCTAGGTTCAATGCAAAAAGGTACATCCTGCTCCTGCTAAAGATTGTGGGTATAGGGCAGTGTTTTCTTGAGCTCCTACTTGTGCCTATTTTAAAAATACAATAACAGGGCTGGAGGTAGAGCAAGATGGCAGATAAGAAAACTCCACTGATTTTACCCTATGAAAGGACACTAATTTAACAACTATCTACATAAAAGAAAACATCTTAATAAGATCCATAAACCAGGTGAGCACTCACAGGACCTGGTTTTAACTTTATATCACTGTAAGACACACAGAAGAGGTAGGAAAAACTGTCTTGAATCACCGACACCACCCCTACCCCATGCCCCAGCAGTTGCAGCATTGTGTAGACAGCAATTCTGAGCAATGCAGGAAGGAAAGCACAGCAATTTTTAGTCATTGAACTCACTGCTGTCTTGTTAGAATAGAAAAGAAAACTGAACAAAATTCAGCTAATGCCTGCCCATGGGGAGGTGAGAATTTAAACCAGCCCTAGCCAGAGGGGAATCACCAATCACAGCAGGTGGAACTTGGGTTTTTGCAAGCCTCACCACCATGAGTTAAAGCAGTCTGGTGCTCTAAATAAACTTGAAAGTCAGTCTAGGTCACAAGGACTGCAACTCCTAGGAAAGTCCTAGTGCTGAACTAGGCCCAGAGCCAGTAGACTTAGGGGGTTGAGATGGGGTATGTGACCTACTGAGACACTAGCTGAGGTGGCTAAGAAAGTGCTGTCGTCACCACTCACCTAACCCCAGGTGGCATGGCTCACAAATTCAAAACAGACCCCTTCCTTTCACTTGAGGAGAGGAGACGGAATAGTGGAGATAAATTTGTCTTGCATTTTGGATACCAACTCAGCCACAGCAAAATAAGCCATCAGAGTCACAAGGTCCCATTTCCAGGCCCTAGTTCTCAGATGAAATTTCTAGAAACACTCAGGGCCAGAAGGTAACATGCTGCCCTGAAGGGAAGGACCCAGTTCTGGCAGGATGCATCACCTGCTAACTGAAGAGCCCTTGGGCCCCGAAAAACCACCAGAGATGCCCAGGTACTACGTTGAGGGCTTTGGGTGCGACTCTGAGATGTGGTGCCATCAGCACATTTCAAGCTATGGTAGATATAGAATAAGACTCTTTCTGCCTGAGAAAAGCAGAGAAAAAAGTAAAGGGGACTTTGTCTGCACTCAGGTGCCTACTTAGTCACAGAGGGGTAAAACACCCAGCAAGATCTTGGGGTCCCCAATTCCAAAGGAGGGCTGTTGGATGACATTTCTGGAAATTCCCCAGGCCAAAGTGAAGCCCACTGCACTGAAGGGTGAGTCCCAGGCCAGGCAACAGTTACCACAAGCTAACTAAAGAGCCCTTGGGCCTTAAGGGAACATTGACGATAGTCTGGCAGTACTCGCCATGGGCCTGTGATAGTAGTAGCCATGGGTTGAGGCTCTTCTGCCTTTGGGGAAGAAAAAGAGAGAGAGAGAGAAAGGGAAAGACTGTGTCTTCTGGTTTGAGTGCCAGCTCAGCCACAGTACAACAGAATACCAGGTACACTTCCTTTATTTTTTTTTTTGTCTTTTTTTTTCCTTTTTTTTTTAAATTATTATTATACTTTAAGTTTTAGGGTACATGTGCACAATGTGCAGGTTAGTTACATATGTATACATGTGCCATGCTGGTGTGCTGCACCCATTAACTCGTCATTTAGCATTAGGTATATCTCCTAATGCTATCCCTCCCCGCTACCCCCACCCCACAACAGTCCCCAGAGTGTGATGTTCCCCTTCCTCTGTCCATGTGTTCTCATTGTTCAATTCCCATCTATGAGTGAGAACATGTGGTGTTTGGTTTTTTGTCCTTGCGATAGTTTACTGAGAATGATGATTTCCAATTTCACCCATGTCCCTACAAAGGACATGAACTCATCATTTTTTATGGCTGCATAGTATTCCATGGTGTATATGTGCCACATTTTCTTAATCCAGTCTATCATTGTTGGACATTTGGGTTGGTTCCAAGTCTTTACTATTGTGAATAGTGCCACAATAAACATACGTGTGCATGTGTCTTTATAACAGCATGATTTATAGTCCTTTGGGTATATACCCAGTAATGGGATGGCTGGGTCAAATGAATACCAGGTACACTTCTAAAGATTTTGACTCTAGCCCCTGGCTTGTGGATGGCACATCTGAACCTACCCAGGACCAGGAGGAACTCAACGCACTGGAGAGAAGGACACAGGCCTGGCTGTCATTGACACTAATTGTAGTGCTAATTGTAGAGCCCCAGGGCCTTAAGAAAACATAAACAGTAGCCAGGGAGTGGTTTCAGCAGACCTTGGGTGAGACCCAGTGCTGTGCTGGCTTTATATTTGACCCAGTACAGTAATTGTGGTGGTGGCCACAGGGGTGTTTGTGTCACTCCAGCCCCAGTTTCACATGGCTCAGAACAGAGAGAGAGAGAGAGAGACTGTTTTAAAGAAAGTAAGTGAAGAGAATGAAAGTCTCTGCCTGGTAATTCAAAGATTTATCTTGGATCTTGTCCAAGTCCATCAGGATGATACCTCCATAAGTCTACAGTGTTATTGGACTTTGAGTGTCCCCTAAAGCAGTTACATCTTAGGTCACAGTACCCAAGTCCTCTTGAATATCTGGAAAGCTTTCCCAAGAAGAAATAGTTCAAACAAGCCCAGACTGTGAGGATGATAATAAATAATTAACTCTACAATGCCAGGCACAAATAAACATATACAGGTATCAATACAACCCAAGAAAGCAGGACCTCACCGAATGAACTAAATAAGTCACCAGGGAACAAATAAATATATTTGATCTTTTAAACAGAGAGTTCAAAATATCTATTTTGAAGAAACTCCAATTCAAAATAACACAGAAAAAAATTCAGAATTTTATCAGATAAATTTAACAAAGACATTAAAATAATTAAAAATAATCGAGCAGAAGTTTTGGAGCTAAAAAATGCAATTGACATGCTGAAGAATGCATGAGAGCCCTATATATAATAGCAGAATTTATCAAGCAGAAGAAATAATTAGTGAACTTAAAAACAGATTATTTGAACATATACATAAGAGATGAAAAAAGAAAACATCAAAGAACCATGCCTACAGGATCTAGAAAATAGGCTCAAAAGGGCAAATCTAAGAGTCATTGGCCTTAAAGACGAGACAGAGAAAGAGATCAGGATAGAAAGCTTATTCAAAGGGATATTAACAGAGAACTTTTCAAATCTAAAGCAAGATAACAATATCCAATTATAAGAAGGTATGGAACACCAAGCAGATTTAACCCAAAGAAGTCTACCCTAAGGCGTTTAGTAATCAAACGCCCAATGGTCAAGTATAAATAAAGGATCCTAAAAACAGCAAGAAAAAAGAAACAAATAACATACAATGGAGCTCCAATACATCTTGCAACAGACTTTTCAGTGGAAACCTTACAGGTCTGAAAAGAAAGGCACGAAATATCTAAAGTACTGAAGAAAAAAAACCTTTGCACTAGAATAATCTATCTTGAGAAGATATTCTTCAAACATGAAGAAGAAATAAAGACTTCCCCAGACAAACAAAAGCTGAGTCATTTTATCAATATCTCACCTATCCTACAAGAAATGCTAAAGGGAGTACTTTAATCAGAAATTAAAATAAGTAAATGAACAATAAGTAATCACCTGATAGTACAAAACTCACAGGTAATAGTAAGTAAACAGAAAAACACAGAATATTATAACACTTTAAGTGTGGTATGTAAATTACTCTTATACTAATTAGAAATAAACCATGAATCAGTCAAAAATAATAACTACAGCAACTTTTCCAGACGTACACAGTACAAGAAGACATGAACTCAAATAACAGTTAAAAAGCAGAAGACAAAGTTAAGGCATAGATTTTTTGATAGTTTTCTTTTTGCTTGTTGGTTTCTTTTGCAAACAATGTTAAGATGTTATAAGCTTAAAATAATGGCTTATTTAGCATTTGCAAACTCATGGTAACCCCAAATTTTAAAAAATACCATGAATACACAAAAAATAAAAAACAAGACACCAAATCATATCACCAAAGAAAATCTTCTTCACTAGAAGAAGATAGAAAGGAAAGAAAGAAGGAGGTGAAGACCACAATACAACCAGAAAAAAAATGACTTAATGGAGAGAGTAAATCCTTACTTATCAACAACAACATTGTATATAAATGGACTAAACTCTCCAATCAAAAGACATAGAGTGGCTCAATGGGTAAAAAACAAACAATCAGAAAATCTCAATGGTCTGTTGCTTACAAGAAACATATTTCACCTATAAAGACACACGTAGATTGAAAATAAAAGAATAGAAAAAGATATTCCATGCCAATGGAAACCAAAAAAGAGCAAGACTCACAATACACATCTCAGACAAAATAAATATCAAGACAAAAACTATAATAAGAGACAAGGAAGGAAACTATATCATGATAAATGGTCAATACAACAAGAGGATATAAAATATTAAATATATATACACCTAGCACTGGAGCACCCAGATATATAAATTACATATTATTAGAGCTAAAAAGAGAGATTGACTCCAATAGAATAATACCTGGAGACCTCAACACCTCATTTTCAGCATTAGAGATGTCTTCCAGGCAAAAAATCAATAAAGAAACATTGGACTTAATCTGTATTATAGACCAAATGGATCTAATAGATATTTACAGAAAATTTAATTCAATGACTTCAAAATACAAATTGTTTTTCCTCAGCATGTGGATGTTTCTTAAGAATTGAGCATATGTTAGATCACAAAGCAAGTCTTAAAACATTCAAAAAGTTGAAGTAATATCAAGCATCTTCTCTGACCAGAATGAAATAAAACTAAAAAGCAATAACAAGAGAAATTTTGAAAAATATATACCTGGAAATTAAACAACATGCTCTGAATAACCAATAAGTCAACGAAGAAATTAAGAAAAAAGATGGAAACATTTATTGCAACAAATGATAGTGGAAATACAACATACTAAATCCTATGGAATACATCAAAACCAGTACTAAGAGGGAAGATCTTAGTTATAACTTCCTACTTTGAAAAAGAATAAAAACTTCAAATAACATTACAATACATCTGAAAGAACTAGGAAAACAAGAGCAAACCAAACTCAGAACCAGCAAAACAGAAATAATAAAAACTAGAGCAGAAATAAATGAATTTGAAATGAAGAAAACAATAAAAAGATCAATGAAACAAAAAGATGGTTTTTTGAAAAATTGAAATATTAACAAAACTATAGCTAGACTCAGAAAAAAATAGAAAGGCCCAAATAAATAATATCAGAGATAAATAAGAAGATATTACAACTGATACTTTAGTTATTGAAAATGTCATTAGTGCCTACTATGAGCCACTATATGCTAATAAATTTGAAAATCTAGAAGAAATGGACAAATTCCTGGACACATAAATTCTACCAAGATTAAACCATGAATAAATCCAAAACATAAACAGACCAATAACAAATAATGAGATTGAAGCTATAATGAAAGGTCTCCCAGTAAAGGAAAGTGAGGGACTTGATGGCTTCACTGCTGAATTCTACCAAATGTTTAAAGAAGAAAGAGTACCAATGCTATTCAAACTATTCTAAAAAATTGAGGAGCAGGGAATATTTCCAAGCTAATTCTGCAAGGCCAGTATTACCCTGATACAAAAACCAGACAAAGAAACACCAAAAAAAAGAAAACTACAGGCCAATGTCTCTGATGAATATTGATGCAAAAATCCTCAACAAAATCTAGCAAACTGAATTCAACAATACATTAGAATGATCATTCATTATGACCAAGTGGTATATATCCCTGGGATGCAAAGATGGTTTAACACACACAAATCGATCAGTATTATGCATCATATCAAAAGAATGATGGACAAAATCAACATGATCTTTCAACTGATGCTGAAAAAGCATTTGATTAAATTCAGCATCCCTTTACAATAAAAAAAAAAATCTTAAAAAAACTGGGTGCAGAAGAAACATACCTCAACATAATGAAAGCCATATATGACAGGTCCACAGCTACTATCATACTTAATGGAGGGAAATTGAAAGCCTTTACTCTAAGATTTGGAACACGACAAGAATGTCTACTTTTCACCGCTGTTATTCAACATAGTGCTGGCACTCCTAGCTAGAACTATCAGACAAGAGAAAGAAATAAACGGCATCCAAATTGGAAAGAAAATCAAATTATCCTTGTTTGCAGATGATATCATCTTACATTTGGAAAAACCTTAATACACCACAAAAAACTTTTAGAACTGAGAAACAAATTCTGTAAAGTTTCAGGATACAATATTAATATACAAAAATCAATAGCATTTCTATATGCTAATAGTAAACAACCTGCAAAATAAATTAAAAAGTAATTACATATACAATAACCACACATAAAATTAGGTACCTAGGAATTAACCAAAGAAGTGAAAGATCTCTATTATGAAAACTAAAATCCTCTGATAAAAGAAATTGAAGAGGACAGCAAAAAAAAAAAAAAAACAAAATTCAATCTTTATGAATTAGAAAAATCAATATTGTTAAAATATCCATACTATCCATAGCAATCTACAGATTCAATTCAATTCATTTCAAAATACCAGTAACATTCTTTACAGAAATAGAAAAAAAATCCTAAAATTTACACAGAACCACAAAACACCCAGAATAGCTAACGCTAGATTAAGCAAGAAGAACAAAAACAGAAGAATCACATTACCTGGCTTCAGATTACACCACAAAGCTATGGTAATCAAAACAGCATAGTACTGTTGTAAAAACAGACACATAGACCAATGGAATGGAATATAAAACCCAGAAACAAATCCGCACATCTACAGATAGCTCGTTTTTGACAAAGGTGCCAAGAACATACACTGGGAAAAAAGATAGTCTCTTCAATAAATGGTTTCAGGAAAACTGGATATCCATATGTAGAAGAAAAACTAGATTTGTATCTCTCGCTATATACAAAAAATCAAATCAAAATGAATTGAAGACATAAATATAAGACCTCCAACTGTGAAACTATTACATGAAAACATTGGGGAAAATTTCCAGGACATTGGTCTGGGCAAAAATTGCTTGAGTAATACCCCACAAGCACAAACAACCAAAACAAAAAAGGACAAATGGGATTACAATAAGTTAAAAACCTTCTTCACATCAAGAGAAACAATCAACGAAGTAAAGAGACTACCCACAAAATGGGAGAAAATATTTGCAAACTATCCATCTGGCAAGGGATTAATAACCAGAAAATATAAAGAGCTCAAACTATTCTATAGGAAAAAAATCTAATAATCCTGTAAAAAACGGGCAAAATATTTGAGTATACATTTCTCAAAGAAGACATACAAATGGCAAACAGTCATATTAAAAGGTGCTTAACATCACTGATCACTGAGAAATACAAATCAAAACTACAATGAGATACCATCTCACCCTAGTTAAAATAGCTTACATCCAAAAGACAGCCAATAACAAATGCTGACAAGGATGTGGAGAAAAGGGAACCCTTTTAACACCGTTGGTGGAAATGTAAATTAGTACAAAAACTATGGAGAACAGTTTGGAGGTTTATTAAAAAAAAAACTGAAAAATATAGCTACTCATATGATTCAGCAATCCCACTACTGGGTACATACCCAAAATAAAGGAAATCAGTATATCAAAGAGGTTGGTGTACTTCCATGTTTGTTGCAGCACTTTTTTCAATAGCCAAGATTCGGAAGTAACCTAAGTGTCCATCAACATAAGAATGGATAAAGAAAATGTCATACTTACACACTGTGGAGTACTATTCAGCCATAAAAAACAATGACATTCTATCATTTGCTACAGCATGGGTGGTACTGGAGATCATAAAGTTAAGTGCAATAAGCCATGCACAGAAAGTCAAATATTGTATTTTCTCACTTATTTGTGGGATCTAAAAATCAAAATAATTGAATTCATGGGAGTAGAGAGTAGAAGGATGTTTACTAGAGGCTGGGAAGGGTAGTGGAAGGGGCTGGGGAGGGAGGTGGGGATGATTAATGAGTAAAAATAAGTAGTTAAGAAGAATGAATAAGACTATTTTGTAGCACAAGTTTTCTATAGTCAATAATAATTGTACATTTGATAAGAACTAAAAGAGTTAGTTATTATATAACTAATTATATCTGGTGATATAATATTATATAATGAATTATATTTGATAATAACTAAAAGAGTTAGTTATTATCAAATGTACAAATGGATTGTTTGTAACACAAAGGATAAATGCTTGAGGGGATGGATATCTCATTCATCATGATGTGATTATTATACATTACATGTCTGTACCAAAACGTCTTATGTACCTCATACATATATACACCTATTACTTACCTACAAAAGTTAACTTTTAAAAAAATACAGTAACAGATAATTTCTCAATGTCAGATAGTAAAACATATCTGACATACGCAGTGACTAAATCCATTGAGGGGGCAAAGATAAAAAAAACACTTTCCTGTTTGTTTTCATTTATAATAGCAGATGGACCCTTCTGCTCACATCTATTCCCTAAGGTTTAGATATATCTATAAGGTATATCGAGTTCCTAATGCTGGGATTGTTTTCTTGATTTCCTTTTTAGATGGTTCACTATTATTGTGTAGAAATACAACTGATTTTTGTAAGTTAAGTTTGTATCCTGCAATGTTACTGAATTTGCTTAATAGTTCTAACTATTAAGCCTTGAGCATTTTCTAGACATACTATCGTGCCACCTATAAACAGAGCAGGTTGACTTATTTTCCAGTTTGAATTCCTTTTATTTCTTTCTTTTGCCTTATAGCTCTGGCTAGAACTTCCAGAACTATATTGAATAGAAGTGGTGAAACTGGGCATTCTTGTGTATTCCATAACTTAGAAGATAAGCTTTGAACTTTTCCCTGTTCTCTATGATATTATCTGTGTGTGTCTTTTATGGTTGTTTATGTGTGTGTGTGTGTGTGTGTGTGTGTGTGTGTGTGTGTGTGTGTGTGTATTGAGGTACATGCCTTCTATGCCCAATTTGTTGAGAGTTTTTTTAATAATGAAAGGATGTTGAATTTTGTCAAATGCTTTTTCTGTGTCTATTTTACTGTCATATGGATTTTGTCTTTCACTGTGTTAATGCAATAAATCACATTTATTTATTTGTATATATTCAAGCATCATTGCATCCCTGGAATGAATCCCACTTGATCATCACGAATAATTATGTGCTGTTGAATTTTGTTTCCTAGTATTTTCTGGTGTATTTTTGCATCTATGCCCATCAGAGATATTGGCCAGTATTTTTTGTTTTTTGTTAGTTTCTTGTCTTGTTTTGTTATCAGAGTAATGCTGGCCTTGTAGAAAGAATTTGAAACAATTCCTTCCTCTTCAATTTTCTGGAACAGTTTGAGAATTATTGGTATTAGCAATTTAAAATTTGGTATATATCAGCAGTGAAGCCACCAGTTCCTGGGCTTTTCTTTGAAGAGATACTTTTTATTATTGATTCAATTTTGTCACATTATTGATCTGTTTAGATTTTTGTTCCTTCATGATTCAATTTTGGTAGGTTTTATATGTCTAGAAATTCATCCATTTCTTCTCAGTTTTTCAATTTGTTCACATATGGTTTTTATTAATAGTCTCTTATACTCTTGTATTTCTGTTGTACCAGTTGTAATCCTTCTTTTCTATCTTTGATTTTTCAAAATAAATAGCTCTTAATTTAATTGATATTGTGTATGATTTGTTTCAATTTCATTTAGTTCTGCTTTGATCTTTATTACTTCTTTCCTTCTACTAATTTTGAGTTTAGTTTGTTTTAGTTTTTCTACTTCCTTGAGGTGCAACATTAGGTTGCTTACTGATCTCAAGATCAATCTTCATTGATGAAAGTGTTTATTGCTATAAACTTTCCTCTGATTACTGTTTTTACTGTAACTCATCGATTTTGGTATGTTGTTTTCATTTTCATTTGTCTCTAGAAATTATTTTTAAATTTTCTTTTAATTTCTTCATTGACCCTTTGGTTGTTCAGGACCCCGTTGTTTAATTTTTATTTTTTTGTGTAGTTTCTATGATTCTTCCTGTTACTGATTTTAAGTTTTATACCATTCTAGTTGAAAACAGTATTTGATAAAATTAAATATATAAAATATTTCTTTAGACTTCTGTGGCCTATCATATTCTGGAGACTGTGCCATGTGCACTCGAGATCAATGTATATTCTGCTTATATTTAATGGAAAGTTCTGTAAGTACATTTTGTTAAAATTGCAGTTAAATTCCTATATTTTATGAATGATTATTCTGTTTGATCTGCACATTGTTGAAAGTGGGGTATTGAAGTTCTCTACTGTCATTGAGTTGTTATTTATTTCTCCCTTCATATTCATTATAATTTGCTTTATATATTCAGAAGCTGCAAAGTTGGGTGCATACATATTTACAATTTTTGTCTTATTAGTTAATTGTGCATTTATCATTAAATACTTAATTTTTTCTCTTGTGACAGCTTTTTACTTAAACTCTATTATATCTAAGAATCGGCACCCCTGTTCATTTTGGTTATTAGTATGGAATATCTTCTTCCATTGCTTTATTTTCAGCCTATGTGTGTCATGAAGTTAAAGTGGTTATTTGTAGGGAGTATATAGTTGGGTGTTTTTTTTAAAATTTATTTAGCCATTCTATGTCTTGTAATTGCATAATTCAATCCATTTACATTCAAAGGAATTATTGATAGGTAAGGACTTACTACTGCCACTTTGTTATTTTTTTCTGGTGGTTTTATAGATCCTTTGTCCCTTTTCATTTTCCCTTGTTTATTTTGTGATTCGGCTATTTTCTTCAGTGCTATGTTTTGATTCCTTTCTATTTATTGTGTGTGTATCTGCTATAGTTTTTGCTTTGTGTTTACCACGAGGCTTACATGAAACATCTTTTAATTATAATGGACTATTTTACAGTTAACAACTTCTGTTGCATACAAAATCTATAGACTTTTACCTTCCCCTCAAAATACACATTTTTGATGTCACAATTTACATCATTTTTATAGTATTTCTTAATGACTTATTTAGCTAACATCATTTTGACTGTTTTGATTTTTAACCTTCCTACTAGTTATATATATGATTTACAGAGAGCCATTACAAAATTGAGGTATTCTGAATTTGAGTATATATTTACCTTTACCAATGAATTTTACACTTTCACATGTTTTCATGTTAGTAATTAGTGTTTTTATGTTTCTACTTGAAGAACTGCTTTAAACATTTCTTGTACAGGAGGGGAGGTCTAGGGTGATGAACTCCCTCAATTTTGCTTGTCTGGGAGATAGTGTAGTTCTTCATTTTTGAAGGACAGTTTCACTGGGTATAGCATTCTTGCTTGGCAGGTTTTTCTTTTCAGCACTTTGAATATATTATCTCATCCTCTCCTTGCCTGTAGGGTTTCTACTGAGAAATTTACTGATGATCCAATGGGGTTTCCCTTGCATGTACCTTTACGCATTTCTCTTGCTGCTTTACATTTTTCTCTTTGCCTTTGATATTTGACAACTAAATTATAATTGGCCTTGATGAGGACCTCTTTGAATTTAATCTGTTCGAGGACCTTTAAGTTTCATGTATCTATATGTCCATATCTGTTTCAACACTTTGGAATTTTTCAGCAATTATTTCATTAAATAAGTTTTCTGTGTCTACCTTTGTCTCTTCTCTTTCTTGTTTTCCACAGTGCAAGTGTTTGTTTACTTAACAGTATTTGATAAATTCCATAGACTGTCTTCTCATTTTATTCTTATTTCTTATTTTTTCTCTGAATGAATAATTTCAAAAGACCTATCTTTGAGTTTAGATTCTTTCTCCTGTTTGAGCTAGTTTACTGTTGAAGCTCTTCATTGTAGTTTTTATTTCATTTGTTGAATTCTTCAGCTTCAAAATTTCTGTTTGATTTCTTTTATGACATTTATCTCTTTGCTAAATTTCTAATTCATATTAAAAATTGTTCTGCTGATTTTGTTGAATTATCTATTTATAGCCTCTTGTATCTTGGAGTTTCCTTAAGATTACTATCTTAATTTTTTTTATCTGCTAAATTCATGGACTTCCTTATATCTAGGGTTAGTTACTGGAGAGTTATTGTGTTTCTTTGGTGCTGTAACATTTCCTTGCTTTTTAATGTTTCTTCTATCCCTGCATTGATGTATGAACATCTGGTGAAACAATCACCTCTTCCAATCTTTACAATGTGGCTTTCATAGAGAAATAATTTCCCCTGCAGATGAGTCTTAGTGTGTTTGTTGGGAAGTATGTGGTCAATCTGGTTCTGAGTAGATGCAGTGGTATAGCTTCTATGCAACTTCTTCATGAGTGATCAATGTTAGCAATGAGTGTGAGTGCCTCAGCGGCCTGCGCTGTAGGAATTTTAGCAGCAGTGGCAGCAGCATAAGTTGTTAGTGTCCTCAGTGACAAGAGCTTTGCGGGGGGTTGGGGGGGGACTCTTTTTATTGTTTTTCCCACAATGGAGAGACTTATCCAACAGGATTCTTCTTGGTGTCAGGTCTGACACAGCCTACAAGAAGCTACCATGGTGCTGGGTTCAAGGGCACATGTGCTCAGAAAGGCTGTGGAGCTATGGTCCTAGGCTCACGATCTCATAAAACTATTGTGGTCCTTTAGTGTTCAGGTGCAAGTCCACCCTCTAAGGCAGAATTGAATGTAGATTGTCCGCAGAGCCAGGACCTATAATTCAGAGGCTCTCCCAGCAGCTTAAGATCCAGGGTCCAGATTGTAGGTTTGGTTTAGCTCCAGGAATTTCTGGTTTAGCTCCAGGAGTGAAGGGGTGCTCTGGAGGTTTTGGCTACAGTAGCAGTGTAGAGCTGCACTTTATAAACCAGAGCCAATGTGGCACAGTGATAATGTAGGTCATGGCATATGAGGCATCATGTAGTGATTACTTTGGATCCTGGGATGCTGGAACTTGACAGTATTCCCAGATGCTTGGTGACCAGGCCACTTGCAGTGGTAAAAAAGACTCCAGAATGGCAGAGCACAGCTGTCATTTGGACCCTGAGGGGCAGGGAGCAGCATAGCACTGAGTCCACTCTCTGGGGAGGGTAGTGTCTCAGAAGTTAAGATTCTAGGAGGCAATTCCAGCTTTGGGGAAGCTGGATACTATTGTGGTTTGGCCTATAGTGTGGAGTGTTTCAGCTCAGCCAATATTCTGTTTCTCTGTGATGTGGGATGCCATGTCAGCTCAGCCCTGGGACACATGGTTGCTTAGCATGGCCAAAGCACTGATTCCCTGGGAAGAAATGCACCACTTTGGCTTGGATTCATGGAGTGTGACTGCTTTGAGTGGCCAAGGCGCTGTTTCTCTGGGATGTAAGGTGCTGTTTCAGCTTAGGCACAGAGGAGTATGACCACACTGGGAGGCCAAGGCACTTTTTCCCAGGTCACAGGGTACTGCTTCAGTTCAGGCCCTGGGGGATCATAAGTTCTTTGGGTGGCCAAGATGCGATTTCCCAGGATGCAGGGAACTGCTTCAATTCAGGCACCAGGAGGGCATGACTGCTTTGAGTGGCCAAGGTACTGTCTTTCCTGCTTGCTGGGTGCCCCTTCAGCTCAGTCACAGTGGGACTAATTATATTAGTGACTGGGAGGGGTAGATTAAGTTGCTCCACCAATGTATCATTTTATTGGGAGAGAGTGCTCACCTACAGCTTGGAGCTCTAGGGGATCTGAGTGACTGAGAAGGGTAAATAGAGTGACTCCAGCAAAGCAGTTTCCCTGAAGGCCAGTGCACAACTTAAGCTCAAGGTTTGAGGGACAGGGCACAGCAATGTCTTTGTGGGTTAGATGGGTTGGCTCCCCCAAGGTATCATTTTCTCAATAGATAACGTGCATCTTCAGCTCAGGCTCTGAAGGCGGAAGGCACAAAAATGACTGGGATGGGTAAATTTAGCTCCATGGACAGTTGACCCCATAGGGTAAGGTATAGCAGCAGCTCAGCTTGGTGATAGCAGGCCACTGGGCGTGTGTGGTTCAGTGGTTGCTAAGCCTCAAAGAAAGAAGTATGTCGTGGTCACTCACTCCCAAAACAGGACAAACTCTAACAGTAGTTCTAGTTATAAGATGGCATAGCACTGTAGTTGTGCAGGCCACAGGGGGCAGGGCAGAAGGTCAGCTCTTTCTCTGCGGGGAGCACAAATGTGTGGACCCTGACAGGTACCTCAGTTGGGCTTAGTTTCTGTGAGAATTGCAAGGTGAGGACTGTAGGTGTCCAAGGTGTTGATGAGGGTTGTTGGGGTCTATTGTTTACTTTTTCCCCACAAGGCGAACTCTGTTCTAATTCCAAGCTGAGCCCAACTAGGGAATGTAGTGGTAGACACTACATGTTTTCTTGCTTTCTCTACATAGCTATCCTAAGTTTCTGTGATCTACAGGATTTCTGCTACTCCTTTGATTTACTCCAGTGCTCTAATTTTGTTATTTTCATCAAAATGTTGTTGTTAATCTATTGTTTTATCTATCTTTCTGGAAGGTGGTTATTGCTCAGGGATTCCAGTTGGCCACCTTGTTGAAGCCACTCCTTCCGTAAAACAAGCTACCTGGGATGTTAATAGATATTGTGTTGATAAATTTTGGAGATTATTGCCATCTTAATAACAGTAAATCTTCCAACCGGAGTATGAGTTGTCTTTCCAATTTTCTATCTATCTATCTATGATTCTTTTCTTAAATTTGGTTGTTTTTTTTTTTTTTTTTTTTTTTTGACTAGCCATGGTGGCTCACTTTTGTAATCCCAGCACTTTGGGAGGCCAAGGCAGGCAGATCATGAGGTCAGGAGTTCAAGACCAGCCTGGCCAACACAGTGAAACCCTGTCTCTACTAAAAATACAAAAAAAAAAAAAAAGATAGCTGGGCATGGTGTCAGGTGCCTGTAATCCCAGCTGCTCCGGAGGCTGAGGCAGGAGAATTGCTTGAACCTGGGAGGCAGAGGTTGCAATGAGCCGAGATCGCACCACTGCACTCCAGTCTGGGCGATAGAGCTAGACTCCATCTCAAAGAAAAATAAATAAATGAACCTATTTGATAATATTAATTGTCTAATAAAAAAGATCACAAATGTCCTTCAATATTTAAATTGCTTTAAATTTTATTTATAACTGATAATATTTGTATATATTTATGGGGTACAATGTGATGTTTTAGTATATGCGTATTTTATGGGACGATTGAATTAAGCTAATTAACACATCTATTACATCACATTTTGTGTGTGTGTGGTGCGAACATTTAAAATCTACTTTCTTCAAAAATTCATAGATGTAGAGATCTAGAATGGTGGTTACCAGAGGCTGGGGGCCAGAAGGAAAAGGGTCAAAGATACTGGTCAAACAGTACAAAACTTGAGATAGATCGGATAAATAAGTTTTTGAGATCTATTTTATAGCATTGTGCCTATAGTTTATAATAATGTAATGGATATTTCAAAATTGCTAAGATAAATTGGTTTTTGAAAAATTAAATTGATTTATTTCAAAGCCTTGTACTAGGCATATGATATTCCACACAAAATTGAAATGCTTTCTGTCCTCCAGGGGTTACATATTTATATATTTGGTACTTAACATTTGTTTTCTGAAGAGGTAGCACTTCCTTAGATTTTTTTCAGTTTTCATTGCCAAAAATGGTAGTAGGTACTCATGTTTTAATGTTGTATATATTAGTATCTGAGAGTTACGTCCTATGTTTCAAAAGTGCTGCATTTTCTATCCAAGACACATATATATATGTGTATATATATACATATATATGTATATATATAGAGAGAGATATTTCTATTTTTACACGTTCTCACCAAAACTTGACAATATTCAAGCTTTCTAATTTCAGTAACTCTGATTAATAGAACATGTTTTTTTCTCTGATAACTAATAAATTGAGCTTTTCTTCAAATATAGGTTAGCCTTTCTAGGTTTCCTCTGATAGGAGTTACCTGTTTATATATGGCCAATTTTCTTTAATATTGTTACCTTTTTTCTTTGATTTTGAGGAGTATCTTGTATAATCTAGATAATCAAGCTTTTTGTACTTTTGTCTTCTATTGCACTGATTTCTACCCTTTTTATTATTATTTACTTATTTCTTTTTGGTGTTTACTGTGTTGCATTTTCCAACTTCTGGAATTGAATGCTCAGCTTATTTTCTTAATCTTTCTTTTCTCACTGTTGAAACACGTTTGATGCAATAAATTTTCAATACCTTTATCATGTTATACAAATTTAGTCACATAGTGCTTTCTATTATCATTGAATTCTGAATAAATCTCTTTTTTCTTCATGATGTCCTTTAACTCAAGTGTCAGTTAACAATATGCTGTTTAGTCTCCAACCATATGGTTAGAGGACACAGTCTGTATGATTTTTCAATCCTTTGAAATTTGTTGAGGATCCCTTTGTGGTAAATTTATCTGTTTCTATGAACTTTTGTGAGTGTTCTAAAATAATGTGTATTCTCTATTATTGAGTAAGAGAAATATGTATAATTAATATCTCAGGCTTATGCATATTGTTTAAGTTCTTAAAATGTATGCTTATTTATGTCTGATTAATGTGTCATTTTCTGTAAGAGGTTTCCTGAAAATATGCACCATTTTGATTTGCAACTTTTGTTGCCTAATAAACTTTGTCAGATATTTATTCTTATTATACTTTTCCTTTGAAACATATATAGCATATTATTCCTCATGATGTTTTGCCCTTAATTCTAGCTTTTTTAAAGCAAATGTTGTTAAACTGACATCATTTCATTCATTTTTGCTTGTGTATCATTTCCATCCTTTTGTTTTAAATATTTGTATGTCTTTCTTAAAGTATGTCTCTTGTGAACAACACTTTGGGAAATCTCATTTTATAGCTTGTATTTAATTTTGTGTCTTATAATGATGAGTTTAACCCATTTATATTCATTGTATTAATATTAAATTGGGCTTGTTTTTAATAAGTATCTACTTATCCAATTATTCTGAATTTCCACTTTCCATTGTAAGAATCTGAGTTTTTTTGTTTTCTTTCTAGTATACAAATTATACATTAATACACAGTTCTCAAAAGAAGATACACAAATGGCCAATGAACATATCAGAAAATGCCTAACATCACTAATGATCAGGGAAATGCAAATCAAAACCACAATGTGATACCACCTTACTCCTGCAAGAATGGCCATAATCAAAAAATTAAAAAATAGTAGATGTTGGCGCGGATGCAATGATCAGGGAACACTTCTACACTGTTGGTGGGAATGTAAACTAGTACAGCCACTATGGAAAACCATATAGATATTTTTTAAAGAACTAAAAGTAGAAATACTGTTTGATACAGCAATCTCACTACTGGGTAACTACCTAGAGGAAAAGAAGTCATTATACAAAAAAGATACTTGCACACACATGTTTATAGCAGTATAATTCACAATTGCAAAATCGTGGAACCAACCCAAATGCCCATCAACCAACAAGTGGACAAAGAAACTGTCATATATATATATATATATATATATATATATACACACACACACATATATACAGCTTAAAGATATACAGCTGTATATAAAGCTGTATATATGTGTGTGTATATATATACATATATACAGCTTAAGATACAACTTAAAGCATCTGCAGAGGGTTTTAGTATTGGATATAAAAGACTTTGCTACAAGGAAAAGCCATTTATTATTATGATTATAATTATAATTTTCCCATTATAATTTGTTCCAAATAAGCCCTTTTCTCTAACTGTGAAGCATAGAAAAATAAATTGATGTGTTCATATTACACAGCTAATCAGCATATAGGACAGTACAGTTGGCCCTTCAACAACAGGGGTTTGAACTGCACAGGTCCACTTATATGTGGATTTTTTTCTCAGTAAATACAGTCAACTCTTCGTATAGGTAATTTGCACCTCCATAACCAAATGCAGGTTGAAAGTATAGTATTTGTGGTATCCAAAACCTGTGTATGTGGTAGACTGACTTTTCACATCTGCAGATTCCACAGAATTGACTGTGGGATTTGAATATGAGTGAATTTTGGTATGTGTGGGGGACCTGGAACGACTGCCCTGCAAATACCAAAGGATACCTTTACTTTTAGAGGTCTCTGGAATACCATTCCAGTGTTGTATTTTTTTTTACCATAGTAGAATGCATTTTAAGAGGCCAAGAAGAGATTCCTCAAAGCCTACTTTTTAAGAAAACATCCTGGACATTCATAAAATAAGATTTCAGTAAAGCATAAAACCTGAAGGAACACATTTTATGGGGAAATTTATTTTAGAAACTGTGTTTAAGTGAATGAAATTTCTTATTTTCACACAATTAATTATTGTTTATCACCTTTTAAAATAAGAAGTGTTCTCCATTTGATATATTTGAACTGTACTTTTAAGTTGGAATTATGTCAGATGTTTTAAGTTGGTAAACTCATGAAAACCAAATGAGGATGATTTACATGTAATATGTTACATATTGTGTAACATCAGAATTACAAATGCTTTTCAGTTTCTGGGTACTATATTCTGTGCTCTGACCTGACTATACTTATGTCTTTATAAAGAATATATATTCTATGAAATATGTATTCTATATAAAGAATGCTAAGAAAGGTTACTTTTCTAAGAAGCATTTATTCCAGACACCTGTTTTGGTGCCTAAAATATTTCCCACAATTGCTTCCTGCAGCCACTTCTTTGGGTGATGGTAGCTGTCAAAATGTGACTTTTATCCCAGAGGGAGTGAATTTGCTCAAATCATTTATCAGTACTTAGCTCAAATCATTTCTCAGTATGGAGAGTTGCAGGGCTCTGATGCAGTGTTGAAAGGAGAAGAAAAGGTTGGGAATAAGGCACATTTTCATATCTTTGTGATAGCATGAGGGTACTGGGTATCTAGGGACCTAGAGCTGACAGCAATGAAGAGGCAGACGGAGGAAAACGCCGGCCGAACTTTGTTTTTTCCCACATACAGTTAGCCCTGAAGAAACATATGTAGGCCAACCTTGATATTTGAAGTTAAAACAAGTCTTAAGTGTGCAGTCCTGGTATTATATGATCCATTCAGAAACTTATTTATTAGTAACGCTGCCACTTCCAAACAGTCCTAATATGCAAACCACTATAAACAAAAAGTTAGCTGTTTATGCCCCTATGAATAACAATATATTTTATGAGAACAGAAAAAAAGAAGAAATGAGTATATTTATTTTTCTAAAGAGTTATATTGAAGTGAGTTCACGTAGAGAAGTTCAGAGGGAAAAAAGTGGCCAAGAATATACCAATGTTGACTAGTCAAGGTAGGTTGAGGAGATTAAAGTATCAGCTCAGGGAAGAAAGGAGATAGTGTTAAGGAAAAGGAGAGACTCCCTTTTGGAAGATGCTATGCTATTTATATTAAGATTGGAAGACTTGGGAGTATTTGGATTAAAACAAAGGCTAGGATGTTAGGAACTCTCAGTGGAGTGGAGGTCTGCAGTGAGGCTGGACTAATACCTCAAGACTTCCTGACTTACATGACAGACATTCATATGTAACTTGAGAGTCTCTGGAAGCATTCCCTTCACTGTATTAAGGGGCTGGGTAGAACCCTTTTGGTTATAGTTATTCGTTTTTATCTTCAGAACAGAATTTATGCTGGTAAACGCTTAGGAATGCTGTAATAAAACTCTTGTTTATTGGCAATTTTGTTGTAGAAATAACATAACATAGCATGTTGCTTTTGCAGGTGCCCTCTCTCTGGCATTCTGTCAAAGGTATTTAGGAAAGCTATATAATTTATGTTTTCAGAAGTAATAAAGGGAACAGAAAAATATGACCTGGGGAAGATAAAACAAAAGGCAATGTTTTAACAATGGAAATATTTTAATAGTCCCAGAAGACTTTTTCTTGTGTTCTTTGTGCAAATGTTTGCATATATCATAAGAATAAAGTGAGTGGGAAGAAAACAATGGTATGATGTCTGTGTTTTCTGTAGTTTCTACTTAAGATTTTCATTTACATCATTATGCACTTGATTAGACAAAGTAAATAGATGATGTGAACAATCAATCTGACATAGACCTGTGTTACTTTTTCTTCTATTTTATTGCATATTCAAAAAAGTGCTTTTTGCCAAAATACATTCTTTTCAAAAATACTTATCCCAACTCTTTGAAAATTGGACTTACTTCCTCTGTTTGCAACTCCTGCTCTCTCTTACTTATTACTAATTCTGTCAGGAGAAAGAATCTGGTATTTATAATGACATGTCTAAGATAAATAACTTTCTCTGTAGGTTATTCTGACATTCTAACCATAATGTAAGGTTATTTCTACTGCCTTAAAATTACATATTCTTTCGGTAAAATGTGTTTCAAAATATTATAGCTTCTCAAGAAGAAAATTCAAGAATTACCACAAATCATGTTTTTCCTCAATAAAATTTTGGAAAAACAAAAACCGGCTTTTAAAGCAAATGCATGCAATTTCTCAATTTGGATGACACTTTCTGAAAATGAACACTACATTTAACAATACTTAGTAATTGTGCACTGAAATATGCTAAGAATCCTAAGCCAAGGGTCCCTATTCAAACCATATGACATTTTAAAAATAATAAAATTTTTTCACAAAAGTAGAAGAGCAAGGAACATGATATGGTTTAGCTCTTTTTCTCCACCCAAATCTCATATTGAATTGTAATTCCCAGTGTCGGAGGAGGGGCCTGGTGGGAGGTGATTGGATCATGAGGGCAGATTTTCCCCTTGCTGTTCTCCCAATAAATAGTCAGTGAGTTCTCAGGGGATCTGGTTGTTTGAAAGTGTGTAGCACTTCCCCCTTTGCTCTCTCTTTCCTGCTCTGCCATGGTAAGACGTGCTTGCTTCCCCTTTGCTTTCTGCCATGATTGTAAGTTTCCTAAGGCCTCCTAACCATGCTTCCTGTATAGCCTGTGGAACTGTGAGTCAATTAAACCTCCTTTCTTCATAAATTACCCAGTCTCAAGTAGTTCTTTATAGCAGTGTGAGAACAAACAAATACAGAACAGGTTAGGATGATCTTGTATTTTGTAAGGGATTTACTATGTGAACTATCTTGTTCGCAGTTAAGAGAGAATAACTTTTCATTACTGTTGATTTGAATTTGGTTGGAATTACATAATACATGCAAATTATATATGCAAAGCAGTTTTATTTTTCAAAGTACTTTTCTTAAATTTTTTTTTAGTTTTGCTTGTAAAATAAAGAATTTTGATTCTGCATGTTTACATATAAGATATGAACACAATAGTGCACATGGGGAAAGTCGGTGAGACTTTTTTCTTGATTTTTTGAGTTATAGTGTAAGCAAATGTTCAACTTTACAAAATGATGTTTAGTTACTTTCAAAATTAGTTGTACAAATTCATATGCCTCACCAGCAATGTAAAGAGTTCCTGTTGATCTACTCTCTTTAATACTTTGTATTGTCTAACATTTCAATTTAGTGATGTAAAATGGTATATTATCGTGTACTTATTTGGATTTCCCTGATTATTTAGTTTCCCAAATTTTAATATACATATTGGCTAGACATGTTTGCTCTTCTGCGAAATATTTATTTTTGTATTGTGTTATTTATCTTTTTTTCTTATTTGTAGTTCTTTATATATTCTAGATACTGGTTCTCTGAGGTTGCATATTCTTCGAATAGCTTCTCCCAGTTTATGGCTTACCTTTTAACTGTCTTCATGGTGTTGCCTTAATTTTAACATAGTAGAATTTATTAATCTTTTTCTTTCTTGATAGTGTTCTTCATGTATTACTTAAGAAATTCCTTATGCTCCCAAGGTCAGAGAGTTGCTCTACAGTATTTTCTTTAAAAAAATTTAAAATTTTGCATATTATATTTAGCTTATTAATCTAGCTAAATTTTTGAAATAAAATATGGCAAATATCTAGTTTTATTTTTCTCCAAATGGATCACCAATTCTTCCAATACTATTTATTGAATAGTTGCTATTTCCCAACCCTTTTGCAACATCACTTCTATGAAAGTTTTATATATACATGTATCAGTTTCTGGGTGCTGTATTTTGTTACAATGGTTCATTTGCATATTCTTGTACCAATACTACCCTGTCTTAATTACTACAGACTTCCAATAACTCTTCATATCTTGTAGGACATATCCACTTACGTATTTACTTCTTTGATGTTATCAAAGGTACATTTAAAATTGATTTTGCTTAATGCTTAGAAGGAAGCCCTATTTGGGCAGTGGTAGTGTGCAAAAAAAGTTAACATAGCAGGACTGGGACTGTTATTCCTAGAAAAGCTTGCTTGTGAAAATTAGGCTTTGGCTAGTGTCTGGAAACTTGGCTTTTCTCTGTTTGCTCAGTAAGAGTGGCTCACTATACCTATAGATTTTGTACAAATGATGTAGCTTTTGTTGAATGCCCCATTTACTTCTAGGAATCTGAAATTTTGTATGTGCTAGACAGTGAATGCCTACATGACCAGCCTCCAACCCTATTCCCTCAAAAAACAATCCTTCGGTTCTAAGTCTCTAATGGGCACCCCGAGTAAAACCACTGAATACATGTTGCTTCATTTTTGTTGCTAGAGGAAAAGTGTGCTCTGTGTGACTTCTCAGTAGGAGAGAGCATACGGAGTCCTGCCCATGGATTCCTCCAGACTCCAACAGTGTCATTTTCTCTTATCATCCTGCAGTGTATTCTTACTACATCCCTATAGTAGATCTTAGCCATGAGTACAACTATATGCTGAGCCCCATGAATCCTAGCAAATCTCCAAACAGGAGGTCTTGGGAATCCTCACCCTTGACAAAGTAGTACTACTGCTTCTTCCACTGCTACGTCTACTTCTAGAATGAGCAAAATGTTTTACTACTTTTCCTCAGAGCCATATTACAGCATGAAGTTCTAACATTTCCTTGGATATACTTGAACAAGCTGCAATGGATATTAACTTTTTCATTTTAAAATAAACCTTTTTGAAATATATAGCTGAGTTATTCTGTATTTTATAGTTAATTTTTTAAAATAAATTTCTGCATATGATGAGAGGATAGATTCAACAATTTCTCAATCCTTTACTAAAATTTGGAATTCTGTGCTAAGATTCTGAAAATTTACTATTATAAATAGAGTGAGCCAATATTGACTCCTCTGGGGTTTGATCCAGATAGCATTACAGAAGGCCATATACTGTGTGTCATAGAGGAGACAAGTAATGTACGTGGACTTTGCCCTCATTCCTTGATAAAAAGCCAGGAGGATAAATGCCTTAAGGAAATCAGTCTTTTTACATTATAATAATAAAGTCACATAGATAAACAGATTATTGAATACATCCAGTGGGATATCATGAGACAACATGCAATATCATCCAATCCAGTGTCCCTTCCTCATCCTCTATGGAGAGGCTAGAAAAACATACTGCCCTAATGTGGGTATAGGTTTTTATAGTTTAAAAGGAACTTTTTTTTGTACACTGAGAGAATATTGTATAACTGTCAAGGCATAATCTTTGAGTCTAGCAGATACAAGGTCAAATTCTGCCTCTACCTCTTATCAGATATATGATTTGGGTAAATCATTTACTATTAGTTGATTTCCTCTTCTGGTAGTTGAGATGAATAATGATAGCTTGTAAAGTTACCATTAATTTAAATTAGAATATGGATTTGCACGCACACATATACACACACATGCACACACACACACACACACACTGCCTAACATGAAGTAGATACTCAATGAGTAGTCTGTAAAGAATAGCTATTGTGTTTTTCTATTTTATAGATGATAAAGCCAAGTGTCAAAATGACAAGTTATTTGCCTAAGATATGAATTTACTGTGCTTTTACTGGGTTGCAAATTTTCTATTTCATCATACAGTGTTCTATTTAATTAATGGTAAGCTGATGTTTGAATTAATGTGTGTGGTGCTTCATTCTTATAATTCTTATTATTTACAAATGTGTTCAGTGATCATTTCAGGGCCAATATCGATGGCTCACTTAGCTCCTGAATCATCCATAAAGAGTTTTCTAATGAACATTCTTCAGTATAATCAAGTCTTCTGTCTTTTTATATTATGACAGACGATAACAATTTTTGGCTTAGAAATTATTCAGTACTCCCAAATATGTGTCTCTAAGTTGATAATTGCATTTGAAATTTTAAACTGAAGCAGATTTTTCATATTCCATAGTGAGCACTTGTGAAATTTTCTGACCAACGCTTCATAAAATTGTGGATATGTTCACTGTCCTATGGTAAGTGGAATTTTCAACTCTAACATGGGAAGGGTAAACAGAGAAAATAATATCAAGATGAATGAAAAATTGGCTTAGATGATATTTTGCTTCTCGATGTTGATCTACATCATTGGTCTTGGACTTGGGGAATATATTTCCTTTGGTTTCAATTAGATAAACAAGTTATGTGGTGTAAGAAAATTTGGCTCAGTCTTTTTTATTATTATTATACTTTAAGTTCTAGGGTACACATGCAAAAGTGCAGATTTGTTACATAGGTATACATGTGCCATGTTGGTTTGCTGCACCCATCAACTCATCATTTACATTAGGTATTTCTCCTAATGCTATCCCTCCCCCTGCCTCTCACCCCCTAACAGGCACCAGTGTGTGATGTTCTCTACCCTGTGTCCATGTGTTCTCATTGTTCAACTCCCACCTATGAGTGAGAACATGTGGCGTTTGATTTTCTGTCCTTGTGATAGTTTGCTTAGAATGATGGTTTCCAGATTCATCCATGTCCCTGCAAAGGACATAAACTCATCCTTTTTTATGGCTGCATAGTATTCCATGGTGTATATGTGCCACATTTTCTTTCTCCAGTCTCTCATTGATGGACATTTGGGTTGGTTCCAAGTCTTTGCTATTGTAAATAGTGCTGCAATAGACATATGTGTGCATGTGTCTTTATAGTGGAATGATTTATAATCCTTTGGGTATATACCCAGTAATGGGATTGCTGGATCAAACGGTATTTCTAGTTCTAGATCCTTGAGGAATCGCTACACTGTCTTCCACAATGGTTGAACTAATTAACACTCCCACCAACAGTGTAAAAGCATTCCTATTTATCCACATCCTCTCCAGCATCTGTTGTTTCCTGACTTTTTAATGATCACCATCCTAACTGGCGTGAGATGGTATCTCATTATGGTTTTGATTTGCATTTCTCTGATGACCAGTGATGGTGAGCATTTTTTCATATATCTGTTGGCTGCATAATTGTCTTCTTTTGAGAAGCATCTGTTCATATCCTTTGCCCACTTTTTGATGGGATTGTTTGTTTTTTTCTTGTAAATTTGTTTAAGTACTTTGTAGATTCTGGGTATTAGCCCTTTGTCAGATGAGTAGATTGCAAAGATTTTCTCCCATTCTGTGGGTTGCCTGTTCACTCTGATGATAGTTTCTTTTGGTGTACAGAAGCTCTTTAGTTTAATTAGTTCCCTTTTGTCTATTTTGGCTTTTGTTGCCATTGCTTTTGGTGTTTTAGTCATGAAGTCTTTGCCCATGCCTATGTACTGAATGGTATTGCCTAGGTTTTATTCTAGGGTTTTTATGGTGTTAGGTCTTACATTTAAGTCTTTAATCCATCTTGAGTTAATTTTTTGTATATGGTGTAAGGAAGGGATCCAGTTTCAGCTTTCCACATATGGCTAGCCAGCTTTCCCAGCACCATTTATTAAATAGGGAATCCTTTCCCCATTTCTTGTTTTTGTCAGGTTTGTCAAAGATCAGGTGGTTGTAGATGTGTGGTATTATTTCTGAGGGCTCTGTTCTGTTCCATTGGTCTATATCTCTGCTTTGGTACCAGTACCATGCCACTTTGGTTGTTGTAGCCTTGTAATATAGTTTGAAGTCAGGTAGTGTGATGCCTCCAGCTTTGTTCTTTTTGCTTAGGATTGACTTGGCTATGCAGGCCCTTTTTTGGTTCCATATTAACTTTAGAGTAGTTTTTTTCCAATTCTGTGAAGAAAGTCAGTGGTAGCTTGATGGGGATAGCATTAAATCTATAAATTACCTTGGACAGTATGGCCATTTTCATGATCTTTATTCTTCCTATCCACAAGCATGGAATGTTCTTCCATTTGTTTTTGTCCTCTCTTATTTCATTGAGCAGTGGTTTGTAGTTCTCTTTGAAGAGGTCCTTCACATCCCTTGTAAGTTGTATTCCTAGGTATTTTATTCTCTTTACAGCAAGTGTGAATGGGAGTTCACTCATGATTTGGCTCTCTGTTTGTCTATTATTGGTGTATAGGAATGCTTGTGATTTTTGCACATTTATTTTGTCTTAAGATTTATTTTTAAAAATCTAATATTTGGCTTCAACTCAGGATTTAGCAAATGAGCTCTGTACATTCTTGTCATTGGCTTTTTGTTAATTATGTTCATATCTTTGAGGTAATACAACTTTCTTATATTTTGAAAGCTTACAGTATGATACTGGTATTTTACTGACTCTTGATGTGGTACATTTCCTTGATTATAAAGTTACATGGCTATATCTTTGCCCATAAAATGAACATCATCACTTTTAAGACTAACATAATCAATTTATTAACTATAGTCACCATGTTGTAAAATAGATCTCTTGGGCTTATTTGTCCTGTCTAAATAAAATTTGGTGTCCTTTGATCAACATCTTGCCAATCCCCTGACCCCTGCTTCTATCCTCTGGTAACCACCATTCTGCTCTGAGCTTCTATAGGTTTTACTTTTTCAGATTCCATATATAAGTGAGATCATGCAGCATGTGTCTTTCTGAGCCTGGCTCATGTCACTTAACGTATGTACTCTAAATTTTTCCATGTTTTCACAAATGACAGGATTTTCTTCTTTTCAAAGGCTGAATAGTATTCCACTGTGTATATATACTGCATTTTCTTTATCTGTTTATTCGTGGATGGACATGTAGGCCAATTGCATATCTTAGCTATTGTGAATAATAAGAACGAACATAAGAGTGCAGGTATCTCTTTGATATGCCAATTACTACAAGAGTACATTTTACATATGCTCTTCAAAAATAGTGTGTGAGACAACACATATGTTGCTTGATTCAGCCATTCCACAATGTATACATATTTCAAAACATCATGTTGTATAGCATAAGTATATATAATTTTTACAAGTCAATTTAAACTAATAGTAAGAAGAATAAAAGAGTAACATAATCAAAATATCTTGAAAACACAATTTTTCTGAATTTAGGTAATTAATATGCCAAAAGGTAGATATGACTAATGAAACCATAAAATATATCATCTGAAAACCATTGACAACATGCATCTTCTCCTTTCTCTACGGTTCCTCTAAAAGATTGTGATTTGAGATTTAGTGAGCTCCTGCCACATGTATTATATCCACAACTCATTTGCTAAAGGACCATCTTTGAAATAATAAATTTTGCTCTCATTCTACCGGAAGTTTGTATTATTAATAAAAAAAAAACCATGAGATCTGCAGAGGCAAAAAGAGTGCTTTATTTTCTGGAATCAATCTATGGATTAGAGAAATACAAATTTTCTGGAATCAATCTATGGATTAGGGAAATACAGCCTTTGGGACAAAGCAAAAATGCACTCTGAGGAGGGTTTGAAGAATTAGATATTATAAAGGCAAAAACTACAAGACTAGGGAACGGGATAAGGGGAGTGAGGAACAGAGAATTGATTGGATGCCCTGTAAGCATAAAACTACAAGTCTCTCTTTTTTGACTGACTTTAGATGGTCAACTGGGGAATTCACAGCTACAATCTATTTTGGTTTTGCTTCTCCTAGAAAGGGAAGTCTTGCGACATTTTTGCAACATTTTTTAAAATCACACAATGTGTAACTGCCCCTCATCCTACTATGGCTGCCTGGTTCTCCTTTAACTTGAGCATCTCATTTAGCCACAGGCAGTCCATTTTGTCTATAGGTTGGGGCATAATTTGACAGTATTAATTCTCTCATTTTGTTTCTTAGTTCTGCCTGTAGGGATTTAGTCTTAAGTATGGGAAATGTTTTGTGTGCTTCTTGCCATACATTTCTCTTTGCATGTTTGCATGCTTCTTGCCACAACTTCCTTTCCGTGATCCCTATCCTAATCTCCTCTATTCTTGTCTCTTTATTCATATATTTTCCACATCAGTCAGGCATTGATGGTTCTAATTTTTGTTATCTTTGAGATTTAACGCTTTGTGTAACCAACATAATAACATACGCTCCTCTCAGTTCTGCCAAGTTGTAATGTGATTTATGTATTAACTCATTTTATTGGGCTCTTCTTAGTTCCTACCTTTAAGGTATGGTAGATATAGGTTATGGGAATTAAACTGTGGCTGAGTTGGTATTCCTTAGCTGCAATAAATATTGTTGCTGAAATTTTTGTTAACTTAAAGGAAAAATGAATTATACATTTAGAAAAAGAGAGAAAACTATTTCTTGTAAGGGTCTACCACCTGCAAGGTGGCCATCCTGCAAGGTACCAAGATGGCAGGCTAAGAAGCATGCCTCCGGCCAAAACCAGTCACAGGCACTTCAAAGGAGGAAGGGATGGGGTGGGAGCTTTAGGCTGAGCAGGTTGGCTAAACATACATATTCAACAGGTTATAGAAGGAGATATGAATATTTATAAAGGTGGTCTTTATACATGTGTATTGAGCAAGCATGCATGTGACATACAACCAATGTTCACTTTGAGGTGGAGACTTAATATTTAGATATATTACAATTAAGCCCTGTACATCAAAGTTCTTTTTAGGATACAAAGTACACAATCTCTGTAAACTGGCCAGAACCAGGTCATGGTCAGTGCACTTCTTATCAGAAGAAAGTTTCTGAAATCAAAGCCATAGTTACAGCTAACTCAACATTTGTGGACTGGATGCATTGTAATTGTCTTAATATTGCTCACCTTGGGGCCAGTGATTGTTTAACTGCTAGAGAAAAAAATTCTTGTGGCAGTTAGAGCATAATTTATTTTAAGTGTAGGAATGCATGAATTTTTCCATGCCTGGCATGCCCTCAGGTCCTGTTCATAAATTGGTGTCTATTGCCACAGAAAGTTTGTTCTGTCAGTCTTTTATGATTTCTATGTCAACATTAATGCTGGTCAGTTGTATCTAAACCACCAAAGGGAAGGAGTATAATAAGGCTTGTTCTCATCATGGCTGGGAACTAAGTTTTTAAGGTGTTTCTGGGGTCCCCTTGGCCCAGAGGGGACAAGACTTAGGATTTCATTTATAGTTTACACTTCTTATGCCTGACACTTTTTCCTAAATATTATACTTAATATAAATTCCCCAAAGAGAAAGATAACAGGCCCAGAGAAGCAGGAGTAGGAGACCTTAATACTGTGGATGCATTATGAAATTCCTGTGCTCTGGTGCACGTAGAAAGGAGTGGAATAGTTTAAGATAACATTTTCTGATTCACTGTTTTTCCTGAGGCTTACATTGTATCACTGTGTAGAATCATAAGTCTCCTAAGGCATTGGAATACATGTTTAGAGGAAATGATGCCTTGTTTTCAAAGTGGCAGCTCCAAGAATTTTCTACTCTATTTTAGGTGATAGAACTTTGTAGTCACTTGATATGTACAATTCTATGTAGAAATCAGTGCTTTATTTATAGTTGCAGCTGATCCCTCCTTCCTAGCTGTGAGAAGCATGTGTAGTTTGATAAGGGAGGTTAGTATTTTTTATTTCAATACTTTTTGGGAAACAGGTGGTATTTGGTTGGATAGAAAAGTTATTTAGTGGTAATTTCTGAGATTTTGGTGCACCCATCATGGGAGCACTGTACAGTATACCCAGTGTGTAGTCTTTTATGCCTTCTTTATTTCCCGACTCCTTGTCTCTCAGCTTGCTGGTTGGGTAGGAAAGTGAGGCGTCAGGGATGAGAAAAAAAAAGGGAGTCAGGAAAGTTTTTATTTAATTAATACTATTGTCAGTTGTCTTCATGTGTTCTGGGCCTGCCTGTTACTTTTCAAATTTATTTTTAATTATTCATTATAGTAGTTTTTGGGGAACAGGTTTTTTGCTACATGGATAAGATCTTTATTTGTAAGTTCTAAGATTTTGGTGCAACCATCACCCAAGCAGTGTACACTGTACCTGATGTGTAGTCTTTTATCCCTCACCACTTTCCCATCCTTTCCTCCAAACCCCCAAAGTCCATTATATTATTCTTATGCCTTATTGTTGGCTATTTGTTAGAGTTATTCAATACACACTGCATTAGGGGCATTTCAAATTGTAAAATATGTTATGTTCTCTTAAAGAGTTTATAACCTAACAGGAAAAATAAGGTGTATTGCCTAATTGGTAAAGATAAGGTGATCCAAAAAAACAAAATGAAAGAATAAAATGAGGCTTTGTTGTGTGGTATCTACCAACACTACCCAACTATAGGTTTGTAGAATGTTGAAGCAACTCCATATTATCTTACTACTGCTCCTTGCCCTACTCCCAATATCATCATGAAAGCTCTGTTATATTACTTTTATTTTATTTTATTTTACTTTAAGTTCATCATTTTCTTTCATCACTTTGTCCAGTGAATTTAGGAGCAAACAACCAACTTCATTATATTCCTTGGTTCTCCACAGATGGTTAAAGGTATTATGTATAGAGTCACTAAACTCCTTGCCTCTCAAGAGCGGTGAATCAGGAGTATCAAATGCATTTATTTTGCTTAACTCTCCAAACAGGCCTAAGAATTCTAAGGAATCTACTTCTAATAGTATGGAGAACACTGATACTCCTTGGCCTGAGGATTATCAGTGTTCCTGGAGTTAGCTGCTTAATATGATTAGACCCAAGAATGCTAAGGATAGTCCTATCAGTGTTCTCCATACTACTAGAAGTACAGTCCTTAGCATTCTTGGGTCTAAACAGCTAGCTCCAGAAACCCCAAAGCCAATGGAAGAACTCCATCCTTAATATTCTGTTCCTCTAGAACCACTCCTGGTACCAAAATCTGTATTAGTCAGGGTTCTCTAGAGGGACAGAACTAATAAGATAGTTGCATATATAAAGCGGAGTTTATTAAGGAGTACTGACTCAGACAATCACAAGGTGAGGTCTCAAAATAGGCCGTCTGCAAGATGAGGAGAAAGGAAGCCAGTTCGAGTCCCAAAGCTGAACAACTTGGAGTTGGATGTTCAAGGGCAGGAAGCATTTAGCACAGGAGAATGATGTGGGCCAGAAGACTAAACCAGTCTTTTCTTTTGATGTTCTTCTGACTGTTTTCATTCTGGCAGCACTAACAGCTGATTAGATTGTGCCCACTCAGATTAAGGGTGGGTTTGGATGTAGATTTATATAGAGAAACATAGCAACTCTTAGGTATGGCACTTTTATAGTTATTGCGGGGTATTTTAAAAATTGTTGCTTTCCAGACTTTAAAATAATATTAGCAAAACAAGAAAATTACACAGACTTTTGGATGTTTACTTATACTTTTTAGGTAGTTTGAATAGAGAGATCAAATGTATCATGGTTTAAAACATAAGGACTTGATTTTTTTCTGTAATAATTATATACTAGCAAATACTATTATTTTTAATTTAACAGATTAAATTATCATAATGACTGACTATGCTTAAAAATAAGAAATTTCCAAAAATTTAAAAGTGGCTTTAAAAAATGTCTGCACAGCAGCTTTTAGATTTGATAAACAAATGGATTCATGAAAACAGAAACAATTATTATTATAGTTTTTATTTTGTAAATTTGCCAGACTAAATGTTTTATTAAATTTGTGTCTACTTTAAAAAGTCTGACTGCTAAAACAGTTATATAAATATAAACCATATCATTGTCTAATTTCATCATGTTACTTTATTTTTTATTTTCTGATTTATTATTATTATTACTATGTCAATCGTTTTGGGGAAACAGGTGGTGTTTGGTTACATAGATAAGTTCTTTAGGTGTGATTTCTGAGATTTTCATGCACTCATCATCAGAACAGTGCATGCTGCACCCAATTTGTAGTCTTTTATCCCTCACCCGCCTCCCATCCTCCCCTCAAGTCCCCAGAGTCCATTGTGTCATTCTTTTTTTTTTTATTTTTATTTTACATTAAGTTCTGGGATACACGTGCTGAACGTGCAGGTTTGTTACATAGGTATACATGTGCCATCAAGGTTTGCTGCACCTATCAACCCAGCATCTAGGTTTTAAGCCCTGCATGCATTAAGTATTTGTCCTAATACTCTCCCTCCCCTTTCTCCCACCCCCTAACAGGCCCCAGTGTGTGATGTTCTTCTCCCTGTGTTCATGTGTTCTCATTGTTCAACTCCAACTTATGAGTGAGAACATGCAGTGCTTGGTTTGCTGTTCCAGTGTTACTTTGCTGAGGATGATGGTTTCCAGCTTCATCCCTGTCCCTGCAAAGGACGTGAACTCATTCTTTTTTTTTTTTTTTTTTGACGGAGTCTTTCTCTGTCGCCCAGGCTGGAGTGCAGTGGCGCGATGTCGGCTCACTGCAAGCCCCGCCTCCCAGGTTCACGCCGTTCTCCTGCCTCAGCCTCCCAAGTACCTGGGACTATAGGCGCCCACCACCACGCCCGGCTAATTTTTTGTATTTTTCAGTAGAGACGGGGTTTCACCGTGTTAGCCAGGATGGTCTCGATCTCCTGACCTCGTGATCTGCCCCCCTCAGCCTCCCAAAGTGCTGGGATTACAGGCGTGAGCTAGCAGCGCCCAGCCACAACTTATTCTTTTTATGGCTGCATAGTATTCCATGGTGTATATTTGCCACATTTCCTTTATTCAGTCTATCATTGATGGACATTTGGGTTGGTTCCAAGTCTTTGCTATTGGGAATAGTGCTACAATAAACATACGTGTGCATGTTTCTTTATAGCAGAATGATTTATAATCTTTTGGGTATATACCCAGTAATGGGATGGCTGGGTCAAATGGTATTTCTGGTTCTAGATCCTTGAGGAATCGCCACACTGTCTTCCACAATGGTTGAACTAATTTACACTCCCACCAACAGTGTAAAAGCATTCCTATTTCTCCACATCCTTGCCAGCATCTGTTGTTTCCTGACTTTTTAATGATCACCATTCTAATTGGCATGAGATGGTATCTCATTGTGGTTTTGATTTGCATTTGATGATGAGCTTTTTCTCATATATATGACAAAGGGGATATCACCACCGATCCCACAGAAATACAAACTACCATCAGAGAATACTATAAACACCTCTACGCAAATAAACTAGAAAATCTAGAAGAAATGGATAAATTCCTGGACACATACACCCTCCCAAGACTAAACCAGGAAGAAGTTGAATCTCTGAATAGACCAATAATAGGCTCTGAAATTGAGGCAATAATTAACAGCTTACCAACCAAAAAAAGTCCAGGACCAGATGGATTTACAGCAGAATTCTATCAGAGGTACAAGGAGGAACTGGTGCCATTTCTTCTGAAACTATTCCAATCAATAGAAAAAGAGGGAAGCCTCCCTAACTCATTTTATGAGGCTAGCATCATCCTGATACCAAAGGCTGGCAGAGACACCACCAAAAAACAGAATTTTAGACCAATATCCTTGATGAACAACGATGCAAAAATCCTCAATAACATACTGGCAAACCGAATCCAGCAGCTCATCAAAAAGCTTATCCACCATAATCAAGTGGGCTTCATCCCTGGGATGCAAGGCTGGTTCAACATATGAAAATCAATAAACATAATCCAGCATATAAACAGAACCAAAGACAAAAACCACATGATTATCTCAATAGATGCAGAAAAGGCCTTTGACAAAATTCAACAACCCTTCATGCTAAAAACTCTCAATAAATTAGGTATTGATGGGACGTATCTCAAAATAATAAGAGCTATCTATGACAAACCCACAGCCAATATCATACTGAATGGACAAAAACTGGAAGCATTCCCTTTGAAAACTGGCACAAGACAGGAATGCCCTCTCTCACCACTCCTATTCAACACAGTGTTGGAAGTTCCGGCCAGGGCAATCAGGCAAGAGAAGGAAATAAAGGGCATTCAATTAGGAAAAGAGGAAGTCAAATTTTCCCTGTTTGCAGATGACATGATTGTATATCTAGAAAACTGCATCGTCTCAGCCCAAAATCTCCTTAAGCTGATAAGCAACTTCAGCAAAGTCTCAGGATACAAAATCAAGTTGCAAAAATCACAAGCATTCTTATACACCAATAACAGACAAACAGAGAGCCAAATCATGAGTGAACTCCCATTCACAATTGCTTCAAAGAGAATAAAATACCTAGGAATCCAACTTACAAGGGATGTGAAGGACCTCTTCAAGGAGAACTACAAACCGCTGCTCAAGGAAATAAAAAAGGATACAAACAAATGGAAGAACATTCCATGCTCATGGGTAGGAAGAATCAATATCATGAAAATGGCCATACTGCCCAAGGTAATTTATAGGTTCAATGCCATTCCCATCAACATACCAGTGACTTTCTTCACAGAATTCGAAAAAAACTACTTTAAAGTTCATATGGAACCAAAAAGGAGCCCGCATTGCCAAGTCAATCCTAAGCCAAAAGAACAAAGCTGGAGGCATCATGCTACCTGACTTCAAACTATACTACAAGGCTACAGTAACCAAAACAGCATGGTACTGGTACCAAACCAGAGATATAGACCAAGGGAACAGAACAGAGCCCTCAGAAATAATGCCGCATATCTACAACCATCTGATCTTTGACAAACCTGAGAAAAACAAGCAATGGGGAAAGAATTCCCTATTTAATAAATGGTGCTGGGAAAACTGGCTAGCCATATGTAGAAAGCTGAAACTGGATCCCTTGCTTACACCTTATACAAAAATGAATTCAAGATGGATTAAAGACTTAAATGTTAGACCTAAAACGATAAAAACCCTAGAAGAAAACCTAGGCAATACCATTAAGGACATAGGCGTGGGCAAGGACTTCATGTCTCAAACACCAAAAGCAATGGGAACAAAAGCCAAAACTGACAAATGAGATCTAATGAAACTAAAGAGCTTCTGCACAGCAAAAGAAACTACCGTCAGACTGAGCAGGCAACCTACAGAATGGGAGAAAATTTTTGCAACCTACTCATCTGACAAAGGGCTAATTTCCAGAATCTACAATGAACTCAAACAAATTTACAAGAAAATTTACAAGAAAAAAACAAACAACTCCATCAAAAAGTGGGTGAAGGATGTGAACAGACACGTCTCAAAAGAAGACATTTATGCAGCCAAAAAACACATGAAAAAATGCTCATCATCACTGGCCATCAGAGAAATGCATCAAAACCACAATGAGATACCATCTCACACCAGTTAGAATGGTGATCATTAAAAAGTCAGGAAACAACAGGTGCTGGAGAGGATGTGGAGAAATAGGAACACTTTTACACTGCTGGTGGGACTGTAAACTAGTTCAACCATTGTGGAAGTTGGTGTGGCGATTCCTCAGGGATCTAGAACTAGAAAATACCATTTGACCCAGCCATCCCATTACTGGGTATATACCCAAAGGATTATAAATCATGCTGCTATAAAGACACATGCACAAGTATGTTTATTGTGGCACTATTCACAATAGCAAAGACTTGGAACCAAGCCAAATGTCCAACAATGATAGACTGGATTAAGAAAATGTGGCACATATACACCATGGAATACTTTGCAGCCATAAAAAATGATGAGTTCATGTCCTTTGTAGGGACATGGATGAAGCTGGAAACCATAATTCTCAGCAAACTATTGCAAGGACAAAAAACCAAACACCGCATGTTCTCACTCATAGGTGGGAACTGAACAATGAGAACACATGGACACAGGAAGGGGAACATCACACACCCAGGCCTGTTGTGGGGTGGGGGGAGCGGGGAGGAATAGCATTAGGAGATATATCTAATGCTAAATGACGAGTTAATGGGTGCAGCACACCAACATGGCACATGTATACATATGTAACAAACCTGCACATTGTGCACATGTACCCTAAAACTTAAAGTATAATAATAATAGAATTTAAAAAAAAGAAAAAAAAAAGAAAATGCTTTAGTAGCTACTGATTGTGTAAATAGCTAATAAAAGGGATGTCAACGAAGGCTTGACTACCTTTCACAGTATTCCAGCATCATTATCTGCATATGCAGACTTCAATAAACAGACATTAACACTGTAAAAAAAAAAAAAAGAAGAATATCAAATTTGGAAATAAGGTGTTCAGCTACATTTTTTCAAGAAAATTGTTATGGTGTTAAAGCCAAACACTTGGTAAATATGGTAGAAAGATATTTTACTCAGTAATCATTATTGCAAAACAGGAGATACCTCAGTGTAACCTGAGCTTAAGCTTAACTCTGGTGAAAGAAAAAGCAGGAGACTTTTAAAATACAGGGATGTGCATTTTAAAAAAGATACTAAAGAGATAAAGGGCTTTAAGTGGGTGGGGAGTTGGTCCATGAGAGTAGTCCATCTGGGTTTGTTAATTGCCACTTATCTCAAGGAGAGACAAACTTCTATCTTTATGAAGGAGAAAGGAGGGAGTTGAGTAAGTTGGAGCATGGTGCCCATTGTTAAGGGAAAACCTTAGACAGATTAAATTTAAGAGAGTTTAATGGAGCAAAGAATTATTCACAGATTGAGCAGCCATCCAAGTGAGTAGGCTCAGGGAAACTGCAGCACAGTCACATGGTGGAAGAGTATTTAAGGGTAGCAAAAGGAAAGGGAGGTACAGAAAAATGGAAATCAGGTACAGAAACAGCCAGATTGGTTACAGCTTAGCTTTTGCCTTATTTGAACATGATTTGAATAGTTGGCCACTTATGATTGGCTGAAAGTTGGTGATTGGTACAAGAGCAGGTTACAGTTTGTTGACACATCCAGTTAAGTTTCAGTTTACTGTGTATAAAGACACTTTAGGCCAAACTTAAAATATGTAAGGAGGCAGCTTTAGGCTAAAATTGATTTAAAAATTTCTCTCTCAAAATTGAGAGAATGACCACACTTTAGTCATTGATGTCACTATCATCACAGTAAATGTACTTATTTGTTCTGAATACCCACTGGGAAATAGCAGAACAGTGGGTTTTTAAGGTGGGAACGAGAACTTCAGGTTATTGTTTTCAAAAGCGTTAGAGAAGAGGGAACTTCCTTGTATTGGAATCTACTGTTTACAGGAGAAAAACAAAACCTGGTCTGTTTTAGGATCTGTTTCCTTAAAGTTTCAGATCAGTTATGATGCATTTAGCATGAGTGACTCCATTTTGGTTTCTTCTGGTCTGTTGGGGTCTAATGCATGAGCTCAGTCCGAAACAATGGTCTCTCATAATTTTGTTAAAAAATCTCCCCATTTTGAAAACCTCAAACTCACTTAGGTAAGAATATGACCAAAACTTAGATCTTAGTGCCACTCTCAGTTACTGTCATTTGGGGTTTCCAGTCTCAGCATGCCATTCATATGTCGTGGTGTTCTAATGGTCACATATTTCTTTGAGATTTTTTCATTCCAGTTGAAGAAGGGACCATTTGACATTCGAGAGATGGCTATATGCAGACATTTAAAACTCTCGAGATGATACAGCACATCAAGATTACTATTATCACTATCAGGAGGATAATACGAAGAGTTTGGAGTATCCTCTTTAGCCAGGGTCCCCATGAACCAAATCAACTAAAATCAAATAGGTCAAAGAATGAGCCACGTAAAGAGTCTACTCGCTTTAACCAAGCAGCCTGTTTGTTAATCCCCTACAATTGAATCTCTATGATACCCAGTGTATGTCTCCATGTACAACTAGAAGTATCAGCAACCTTAGTGACACTGCTCTGTTTAGCTAGTAAGTAATCTACAGCAATTCTATCTTTTAGCACAACTTTAGCAAGAGAATTTATAAATATTATGTAATCATAGCCTTTGCAGTAGAATCTGCTATAAAGCCTACTGTGAGGGATAAATTTCTAATTGTTGCCTCATTTACTCCAAACTATGGAAAAAGACACCTAACAAATGATGCCAGTCCAGAATAGTGAAGGTCTCCTAGCAATGTTCTCTTTAATCTATGATATTGGTTAAGAGGGGTGGACCAGTGTTCAAGTTCTCATTATGAAGCAACAAGGCTACAGTTTCTCACCCACACAGGCCCTTCATCTTTCATTTATCAAGGCATAAGGTTGTCCATATAAAAGTTTGGCTATGAAATTATCCTCAAATGAAAGTATACCCCATTAGTGCACACAAGAGACTGCTTTTTTAGTTCTATTGTTTGTTTAGGCATAAGCAATGAAAAAATTGAGGGATAAGAGTTTCATTGAATTTAGTTTCATGATTACATTTATTTATGGCATGTGAGACAGGTTTTCTGTTTTAGCGGTGATATAAAGTTTTCTTTTGAAACAAACTTGAGTAAAAAGGCAAAAAAAAAGGCTCTTGACAGCAGAGAAGTCTTGATCTTTGATATGGGGAAAAAGCTGTCCACACAGGTGATGCCATCTGCTTCTGGGGAGAAACTATCCTAGTTAGCTTTACTTTAAGGTCTCCAATGGGCATACAGTTTCAAAGATCTGGATGGTTACTTCTTGGTTGGGAGATTACAAACTCATTGTTCAAGGTCCTAAAGTTTTGCTGCAGTGTGAATGGCAAAGACAGTCTTTCTCTGCTGTTGTTCTTAGAAGATCCAATCTCTAAGTTCTATACTGTAAAGATGTTGATTGTTCTCACTCAGTGGACCATGAAAAGCTTTTTTTTTAATCTGTTGAAAATATGATTTGGCATAATGCATTAAAGCCTTGCAGGATTTAGTCATACCAGAGTTTAGGAGTGGATGATATATGATGTTTTATTATTAGGTCCATAGGCTTTCCAGATACTATTTTATAAGGTGTCAACTTGTGTTTTACACTGGAAGTGGATCTGATTGTCATCAGTCTACAAGACCTTTGACCAAAGCAATCCAGTCAATTCAGTTAGCCGTGCTTAATGATGTTGCATCTGTAATACCTTTTTTTTTTTTTAACTCTTTTACAACTTGTCCAGTGAAACAAGTAATTACATCACTGGAGACTTCTCTAAGAATGCCCTATGAGGAAAACATATTTCCTAATAAACTTTTAGCTGCTGTTACAACTGTTACAATATAAACCCTCTGGCACAGGAAAGCTTTTTTTTTTTCCAGAGGCAGAGTATCGCTTTGTCGTCCAGGCTAGAGTGCAGTGGCAATCTCGGCTCACAGCAACCTCCGCCTCCCAGGGTCAAGTGATTCTCCTACCTCAGACTTGAAAGCTTTTATACAACCAGAAAAAATGCATGGAAAATGACAATTTAGTAAAATCACTCTATAAATGTTTAAATGGGTCATCAGGTAGCAGAAGTGTACCTGAAGTTTTGATTATCATCCCAAGAATATGAGTTTGATAAACCAAACATTGGTCATGAACTATTTCAGCAATTTAGAATAGTAACCACACCAATATATAAATTTTTAATTTGGATCATTTTAACTCTTTCATGATGAGTCTTGGAATGCAGAGCTTTTAATAACAAAAGCTTTAAGGACTCAGAAGGGACTGAGCAGCTATACAGCTTCTCCATGAGTTTATGTTTAACATTAGACTTATGTCCTCTTAAATATCAGTTTTGTTTCTCCTATTTAGGTGCAGAGACCTGATAACTGATGGGTTATGACAGCAAAATTAATTTGGACCATGAACATCATTAAAACTGCATATCCAAACAATTTTATTACTGACTGGTTTAGAACAAAAATCTGGCAAAGTATTTTCTTGGTATTCAACTAATTTTTTGTGCTCCTTCAGTTAGCAGTTTATAAACAAATAAGTCTCTTCATTAACATTCTGGGAATTTTTACCTAGCCCAAATGATAAGATCATAAAGTTACCAGCAACCTGTATTCAATAGTGCTTGTCGGCTGCTCCCAAATTCAAGAAAAAATGAATTGTCTTACCTGCCACATTCAGTGTTGCCCAAGGCTCTGTCTCTTTGATGATGATGTCAGATTTGGAGACAGTTGGAACAGAGGGCCCGTTCAGCTCAAAGCCATTACTGGAGTCTTTTGGCTCTTGGGACAGTCCTTTTTCTAGTGTCTGGGCTGATAGTAGAGGGGGCAGGCCTTGTAGGGCTTTCTCCCATTTAGCCCATCAAGGCGGTTTACCTTCCAGTGGCCTGGCATTACGCACCAATGGCAATTCCCTGGGAGGGAATTTTTAGGGCAACCTCTAGAGGGCTGGTAGACTTGTAAAGCAGCCAATAATTGAACGTGTCTCCTGTCTTTCCATTGCTCCTTCTCTTTGGCCCCTTTCTTTTCATCTTGATCTCAGTTATAAAAAACTGAGGAGGCCAATTTGAGGATTTCTGACATAGGGCATTAGGTCCCAAAGCTAGCCTTTGCAATTTTCTCCTAATATCTGAAGCAGCTTGGGTAAGGAAGTGGTCTTTTAGGACTAATTGGCCTTCTGGGGATCCTGGGTCTAGGTTTGCATGTTTGATAAGAGTTTCCTAGAGAATCTCAAGAAAGGCTGTGGGGTTTTCATTTGGCCCTCAGTCTATGGTGGCTAACTTATAATTTTCAGGTTTAACTTTACTCCTTTTTATTCCCTCTATTAGGTATAGTAGCATATGCTTTCTGGCCCATATTCCTACTGGGTATTATAATTCCAACTGGGATCCTCATAGGGAACAACTGTAGCTCCTATGGGGTAGTTGACATTTGCCAAGTGCAGGTCATCCTTGCAACAGAGTGCTGCCTCACAGGTATTTTTTTTTTTTCTTATGAGAGAGTTTGTCCTAAGAGGATGCTTATATCCCTCCAGGTAAGCTCAAAAGTAAGAGTTAATTTACAGAAACCCTCTATGAATTTCTCGGGATAATCCATAATTTTCCCAGGTCTTCCTTAACTTGAGAAAGGTCCTGCATAGAAAAGGGAACTTGGACTGTGACTGGCCTGTTGGTCCACTTACCACTTGTAATGGGCAGAGTCTGGAGAGTGGGTTAGAGGGCCCAGTGTAAGGCAGGGCTGACTTGATAGTCTTGATAGTAGGATATGTAGGGGAAGGAGTTGGGGTGTCTGTTTCTCGTATTTGCTCTTGGATGGGGGAGGCTGAGGAATCTTTGGTGGAGGGCTCTGGAGCAGACAATGGAGCATAGCCAGGATGGTTTTCTCTATTCTACAGGCCTTACAAAGATCAGAGTTTTCCCTCAGGGCCATGAAGGCTTGCAAGTAGGGGATCTCTGACAATTTGCCCTGACTTCAGCAGAAAGAGTCAAATGGTGGATGGTATTAAAATCCAAACTTCCTACTTCTGGCCAGGCTTCCTGGTCTGATAGTTCATAGGATAGAGGAGATATCACCCCACTTATTCCTATGATAACCCATAAAGGTGAGGCATTCCTTGCCTTTGCCTAGGTAAGGCACCCTGTGCCTCTACCTATTACCCATAAAGGTGAATCATCCCTTACCTTTGAGGGGCTCCAGAATCAGCATAGGGCTCCAGATGCCCAGTCCCTTAGGTCCCCCTTTTAATCACATAAGCAACAAAGGAAGCCCCAGGAGTATTTTCTGTCTGATTTCTCAACAAACAACAAGAAGCACCTGAGGGCTTCATGGTTTGGCAATAATGGCCTTATAAGACAAAAAAAAAAAAAAAGAAAAACCTCCCCAAGGCCCATAAGAGACCCTAGATGTAAAGAGATACGGAAGAATGAGTAAGAGGGCCGCAGATGGCTGTCCAGAGCAGTTGGACGGCCTGTTTAAGGAACCATAAAGTGAAGTGTTTTAGAAGAGTATTCAACTGGAGAAGGACTGATAGTAAATAAAGGATGCCTTTAAATGAGGATCGTGCCAGTTTTGGCCCCAGTAGTGAGAAAGGAGGTAAGAGAAAGGGTGAAGGTGAACTGCATTCGTGGGGAAAAAATAAATATACAGTTCAAAGGAGGCATATAGGGAATTTCAACTCCCAGCAGTAATGTAAACACAGCATGACCCAGAAGAGCAGGCCCTGCAAGGGGTTTGCATGTGGAGGAGGTATTCAAGAAAGCCCCTCCATGGGCAAAGAGACAGCAATGAGTAGGTGGACTGATTTGTGATATTGATTACCTGCAGGGGCATATTTTGTCTGGGAAATAAAATGGAGTAAAAGGGAAGGAAAATAGCCAACTCAAAGGAATATGGTAGTTTTAGTTAAAATATATAGAATTCTCTAGTCATTGCATGGCCTAGGCCATTCCCCGCCAACAGGTCAAGCCTCCTGTCAGGGAGAATTACGGTAACTTAGATCTGCATGATGTGGTCTTTAAGTCCTCCCACCTCCACTTGCCACCTTTCTGGGTGAGCTGAAAAATCAGCCAGAGGGAGCAAAAGTTACTGTAATTGAAGGGAATTGTACTGGGGAGTTGAAAGTGAGCAGGAGAAGGAAAGCCTCATTTTAAAGTAGCAAGAATTGCGTTAGAATTAGAATAGTAAAGAGGAAAAAATGTCAAACTCTATAAAATATTTGAAGAGATTTATTCTGAGGAAAATATGAGTTACCATGGCCCCTGGCACAGCCCTCATGAGACCCTGACAACATATGCCCACTTGGTCAGGGTGAAGCTTGGTTTTATACATTTTAGGGAGTCATGAGACATCAATCAAATACATTTAAGATATGCATTAGTTTGGTCCAGAAAGCCAAGACTACTCGAAGTGGGGGCTTCCAGGTTATAGGCAAATTTAAAATTTTTTTCTGATTGGCAATTGGTTGAAAGAGTTATTATCAATGGAAAGGAATGTCTGGGTTATGACAAGAGGCTGTGGAGACAAAAGTTTTATCATGCAGATGAAGCCTACAGGTAGCTGACTTCAAAAACAATAGATTGTAAATGCTTCTTATCAGACTTAAGGTCTGTGTTGATGTTAAATGCTTGTCAGCTTTTCTTGAAATCCAAAAGGGAGGAGGGCATAATGAGGCATGTCCAACCCCGCTTCCCATCATGGCCTGAACCAGTTTTTCAGGTTAAATTTAGAGTGCCTTGGCTGAGGAGGGAGTTCATTCAGATGGTGGGGAGGGGGAGGGCTTCAAATTTTATTTTTGGATTACGTAGGAAGAAGCAGAGGCAGTCTAATGGGGGTCTGAAATTTCTCCTGGCACTTACCTCAGAGAACCCTGCTTGGACTAGGCAAAGTCCTGGGTTTCAGCACCAAGGAATATTACTGAGGAGAGCTGATGTCCCAGTACTTCTCTAAACTTAGAAGAAAGATTTCAACCAACAGATAGCACAAAGATAGCAGAGGACTTTATTGAAAAGAAATATAGTGTGAAAAGCATATTGCAGGAAAAATTAAGTACACTCCAAGGAAGGAGCAGGCTGATCCTGCAAAAAACAGCGCTGAGGGTCCCGTGCAGGGAGTTTTATCATGTCAGATTTCTTCAAATTCCCTCCTCTGTCTCAAGTCCCCACCTCTGTCCTTTGTCTAGTTTTCACACGCCTGCCATAAGTCCCTACATGCCTGGGTAGTCTCTACACAGGCTTGTGGGAGCCGCTCTTACTGTTGGTTAATGAGCATGCACGAGCAGGTGATTAACACAAATCCTTCCTGATGGAGGCCCTGCTCATTACTGCCAACCCAGGAAGGTTGTAGAATGGTCAAATCCATACCTATTGCAAATGAATATCTACTTGGAATTTCCTTCTCTGTGCTAATCTGTACTTGTGGTGCCAGGTTTCTCATAGGAATGTCCCTTTTGTCCTTATCAGCATGTAGCTAACAATATTCTGACATTTTAACTGGAGAGTGAATGATTATTAAGAGTTCGTGAATCTGTGCCTTTATGCAAGATAAAAAGCTCTCCTAGTACTTTAAGATGGCTTTTCAATGTAGATAAATAATTGGTCTGCATGAAATGCTGAGACTTTAGAGGCTTCTCTTTGTATTTTTAACATTGTCAAAGTCAAAAGGTAGTTTTCCCCTATGGAAAATTGTGATTTAACTGAAAAAGGAATTTGTAAGTTGCATAAAAAAAGATGCTCTGTGAATCTTCTCATTTGGACTGAAAACAATAATAATCCAATTAACCTGTAAATGCTACACATGGAGGAGCCTTTTCACATTAAAAGACCTTGTGAATGCTGAGCCATCTAAGATGTTTTCCTCTTACACCTAAAAGCTGCTTTTAAGAGATGCCAACTCTTAAGTGGCATCTTAAGAGGCATTCCTGGGTGTTTCTTTCTGTGTAGGTAACTCCTCTTCTTCTCACTCACATTTGACTAAGTGCCCACCCACTCCAGCATTAGAGATGTTATTAATATGAAAATTTTGGGTGCCCCCTCGGGCGTGAGCCTTCCAAGACATTTTTTCTTTTTTTCTACTAGGAGTTTCCCCTCCTGTTCATATCTAGCTATCTACATGCTCTAACACTTTGATATGAATTTTTAATTAATGCTTTTTACTTTAATAGATTTCACACATATTAAAATTTTTATTAGGATACAGCTCTTTAAGTTTTATATATTAAGCAAGAGTCGATTTCAATTCATGATTTTGCATTTTAATCAAGAATGCAACAAAAAAGTTCCATAATTGAACATAAACCTTGCTTGTAGACTATTTGGCAACTATAAATTCATTAACATTCATTTTTCTCTGAAGCGTCCTTTCCAGTATTTTTGTTAATACTGTAATATGACTCATTAACTATGAAAGGTTGAAAACATTGTATTACTGATAGACACGCTGAGAATCACTAGTTCAAATGGTTGTTTGCTTAAAAGACTATATGGCCATAGATACCTAGGTAAATAGAAAAAAGTAAGGAAATAATCATATATATTCATATTCATATATGTATATATGGAAAAGGAATAAATAAATAAGTTTAAGAGAAAGTAATATCATAATAGCATTTATTCTTTGGAGTATAGCTAGAAATACTTTCTTACATTTTCAGATCTTTGGTCATTTTAAGTAGGACTAATCTTCCATATATTATAGTTCAGTTTGACAAAATATATATGAATAAAAGAGATTTTGATAAAGAGTGATGATGACATTAAATGAAGAAGTGTTTAATTTACATCATGTCCAGTCCTCCAACTTACAGGGTTCAAGTTGTTCGGTAAAGCATGTAAACCCAAAAAGGAAAGTTTTAGTTGGTAAGAAACAGGAATGATTTTTATTATTGACTGACTTTGTAGCCTCCTCTCTTTAGATGTGAGCTACACATTTCTACTCTTCTGGAACCAGGGAATCCATCCTTAAGTTGTTCCCTCATTCTCTTGGCATCTCTTAAAAGCAGCTTTTAGGTGTAAGAGGAAAACATCTTAGATGGCTCAGCATTCACAATGTCTTTTAATGTGAAAAGGCTCCTCCATGTGTAGCATTTACAGGTTAATTGGATTATTATTGTTTTCAGTCCAAATGAGAAGATTCACAGAGCATCTTTTTTTATGCAACTTACAAATTCCTTTTTCAGCTAAATCACAATTTTCCATAGGGGAAAACTACCTTTTGACTTTGATAATGTTAAAAATACAAAGAGAAGCCTCTAAAGTCTCAGCAATTCATGCAGACCAATTATTTATCTACATTGAAAAGCCATCTTAAAGTACTAGGAGGGCTTTTTATCTTGCATAAAGGCACAGATTCATGAACTCTGAGTCACAAAAGGCTTTGGAGCTCGTCTAGTTCAGAGGTTGGCAAACTTTTTCCATAAAGGACCAGATTGTAAATATTGTAGGCTTTGCAGGCCAAGAGGCAATGTCCTCAATTCTTGAAGCAACTGTTCTCATTCGTGGACTAATAGGCTTTTTTACATTTTAGTAATAAAAATGTAAAATACATTCTATGCTCTTGGGTCATACAAAAATAGGTGGTGAAATGGATTTGGCCCATTGGGCGTAGTTTGCCAGCCCCTCAAACTAACCCACTCTTTCTTAAACTGGGCTGTATTTACTTGTGCTTGTTAAAAATACCTAGATAATCTGGCTTCTTTACTTGGCATTAAATCGCAGACAAACATTATTATTCTGAAGCTTTCTCAAAGCAAACCTGTAGGGAAATATACAATGTACAATGATGGAGATAGTTTACAGACAAAGGAGGACCATTGAGGATTCAAGTTCCCTAAGTAGTGAGCTTTATTTCCTTTAGAAGGTAAATGGCTCCTTGCCATTTTCTCCTTCCCTCTCCTGTATCTCCCTATTTAAGCCTTAAATTCCTTAAAATTTTGCAAATTGCATGGTATAACTTTCTTTGCATGGAATTGCATCACAGATTAACATTAGTTAGATACATTTTTCCAATAAAAATTACGAGAAAAAACTCTTTATAAATTCTAATATAGGGCATTAATAGAAGCTTTTTTTTAAATTTTTACATTCCACATGAACCTTGGAGTACACTTATTGTCATCTATTGAGCTCTGAGGCCTAAATGCCCCATGAGTCAATTTATTTCAAGACAATGGATAGTTAGAATGCAGCTGTATATTATAGGCATGTGGTCATTGCTCTGATGTCACTTCATCAGGAAATGTTCTGTGTAATGAATTTCATCTAAGTGGCTGCAATAATTTGTTAAGATTATAGAACAACACACACACACACACACACACAGCCCACCACCCCAAAATGACAACTTAACAGTACTATATAAGATGCAGTAAAATGGCAGATACAAAGGAGAGATCAGGATATTAACCTTTGGACAGAGCTTTGCAGCCTTCACTGAAAATCAGTTTAATGTAAAATGCGAACCTGTAAATCAGTTCTTTGAAGAAAAAAATGAGCAACTGCCTAGAAAAAGGGCACACTTTATTATAAATTCATTAGGTGGAGACATTTATTTAAAACTTTATTTGAGTTTAGGTTTCACAGCAATTTTCTCTCTCAATAAGAACTTAGCACTGCACAGAATTCCAGTTCTCAGGAAAATAGTCTTAGAGCTAAAGAGAGATTAGATTTTATAGAGTTTTAATTAATAAATTTATAAATATTGTTTCTCTTTTGATGTTAACTGAAGTTAAATGTTTAGAAAAAAGAATAGTTTATTTCAAAAGTGCAACTTCTGGAAAGTGGTGTTACTAGGAATTTTCTGGTACTTACAGTCTCTGGTACTTTATATCATCTTTGAAATTATTCTAGCTAAAGAAAATATTTATTTTTGTGTTCCAAAAGGCAGACATAAAGCTTTAATATAGCCAAGAGTCCCCAAAGCTTCAGGCAGTATGGCAATCTAAATGACCAGTGTGAATTCCATATTCACTGTATTTTCTGTTATATTTTTCCCCATGGAGTGTTAAAATGCACAGCTGCTGTAGGTTATTCTGTAAAGAGTAGAAACATCTGTATAGTTCCTGAAGAGGCCAAGTGTCCTGATAAATCAAACACATAAAAGAATATTAATTACCAATTTATGAAGGAAGATATTATTTGATTAAGCATAAATTGTGTCCAGTTAAATAAAATTTGCTTGCGTTTTTCCTTGTCCCTTACTTTTTGTCTTGACTTCTAAAATAATGAAAACTAGTGATAGAGAAGTCATGATTGAATAGCTATTTCTATGATTTTGGAATAGTAGTCAGATACCTTCTTAGTATGTACACTTTATAATTTTTTTTTAGGTTCAAGGGTACATATGTAGGTTTGTTATATAGGTAAACTGCATGTCATGAGGGTTTGCTGTACAGAAGACTTCCTCACCCAAGTAATAAGCATAGTACCAGATAGGTAGTTTTTTGATTCTCTCCCTCCTCCCACCCTTCACCCTCAAATAGGCCTCAATGTCTGTTGTTCTCTTTGTGTCCACGTGTTCCTATTGTTAAGCTCCCACATATAAGTGAGAACATGTGGTATTTGGTTTTCTGTTCCTGTTAGTTTGCTAAGCATGATGGCCTCCAGCTTCATCCATGTTGCTTCAAAGGACATAATCTCATTCTTTTTTGACTGTGTAGTTTTTCATAATGTACATATACCACATTTTCTTTATCTACTCTACTTCTGATGGACATTTAAGTTGATACCACATCTTTGCTATTGTGAATAGTGCTAAAATAAACATACACATGCATAGGTCTTTATAGTAGAACAATTTATGTTCCCTTGAATATATACCCAATAATGGGATTGCTGGGTTGAATGGTAATTATTTTAAGTTTTTTGAGGAATTGCCACACTGCTTTTCACAATGGCTGAACTAATTTACATTCCCACCCCCAGTGCATAAGCATTCTCTTTTCTCTGCAACCTTGCCAGTATCTGTTACTTTTTGTAATAATAACCATTTTGTAATAAGAGCCAATGGTATCTCATTGTGGTTTTGATTTTCACTTCCCTAATGTGAGATGGTATCTCATTGTGGTTTTGATTTGCACTTCTCTAACGATTAGTGATGTTGAGCATTTTTTTATATGCTTGTTGGCTGCATGTATGTCTTCTTTTGAAACGTGTCTGTTCGTATCCTTTGTCCACTTTTTAATGGGATTGTTTGTTTTACACGTATTAATTTTTTAAGTGCTATATAGATTCTTTATGTTAGACCTTTGTCAAAGGCATATTTTGCAAAAATTTTCTCCCATTCTGTCAGTTGTCTGTTTACTCTGTTGATAGTTTCTTTTGCTGTGCAGAAACTCTTTAATTAGATCTCATTTATCAATTTTTGTTTTTGTTGCAATTGCTTTTGCTTTTGGCATCTTTGTCATGAAATCTTTGCCAGTATTTATGTCCAGAAAGATATTTCCTAGGTTATCTTCCATGGTTTTTATTGTTTTGTGTTTTGCATTTAAGTCTTTAATCCATCTTGAGTTAACTTTTGTATAAGGTGTAAGGAAGGGGTCCAGTTCCAATCTTCTGCATATGGCTATCCAGTTATCCCAGCACCATTTATTGAATGGGGACTCCTTTCCTCATTGCTTTTCTTTTTTTTTTTTTTTGGGACTTGCAAATGTCATATGATTATAGGTGTGTGGCTTTTATTGCCTGAGTTTTCTATTCTGTTTCATTGGTCTATGCACCTGTTTTTGTACCAGTACAATGCTGTTTTGGTTACTATAGCCTTATAGTGTAGTTTAAAGTCAGGTAATGTGATGCCTCTGGCTTTGTTCTTTTTGCTTAGAACTGCTTTGGCTATTCAGGCTCTTTTTGATTCCATATGAATGTTAGAATAGTTTTTTTTCTAACTCTGTGAAAAATATCGGTACCAAATAAGTGTCTACTATGCCTCCTCTTACATTTGAATATTAATTCTGAAATTTTAGTTTAGAAAAGGTTTTCACTATGACTTTCTATTAAGCACAGGTGCTACTAGTAAAGCAATACTGTCCTCTAAGTGCCTAAGTATACTGTGTTTCATTTTAAATGCAACTGAGAAATTACAACTTTATGATTTGTTTTGCTTTGCAGCCAATAACTATAACTAGTTCAATAACTACAACTAGTTCATCAAGTGAATGTAGATTTCCTCTTCAAGTTGTGTCTCTTCAAAATGAAAGAGTACCTGACAGTTTTGAATATTTTTCTCCAGGAAAGCTCAACACTCCAAGGTAAGCCTCATTGATAATTGAGTCTACAAATCTTATCATGGAGTAAAATATACACATAGTTTACTTTTATTTTATACTACATTTTAACATGATATTCAGCCTCCAGAATAATGATGTATTGATTGGATAAGGACAAGAAAATGGTATATTTGCAAGGAAGTAGCCTAGTCAGGCAATTACTTTCAGATGTGCTGTAAAACAGTTAATGTGAGGCAAGATGTAAGTGAGTGTAAAATCTGTGTACACTGATAGTCTTCCAATTTGTTCACAGGAAGTTTAGTGTTTTATCTTGCTTTCTACAGCCTGAAATATAAAAATATGTACTATATAATGCTTTCCTAAAATAGGATTTTCAACAAAAAAAAGTGTTTGCTAACATTTGATGAATATTTAAACAAGTATTCATTCATGTTTGTCTTTTCTTTAAGTAATGAAGAAGCTGTTACTACGCAACAGGATGAAGGAAATGAATCTGAAACAGAAGTTTCTCACACAAAAGGTTCTGAAATTTTATCTGGTTCTTTGGACTATAAAAGTCTCCAACATCTGACAATAATTAAAAGTCATAGTCCCCTTATGGACTCTGACTCTGAAGGATGTGATTGATTCTGACTCTGATAGAGGCATTGGTTTGGACTCTGACTTAGAACAACACTTGAAAGACTCTGACTCGGTAATATGGGGAATGGACTCAGAAAAACATACTAGAGACTCAGACTGTGAAACACCTGCTAGAAGCAGAAAACTACCAAATAGCTTCAGGCTATGCAGAAAACCCGATGAGAGTTGAACAGTGCCAGGTGGACTCTGACTCTCTGCAACACTGGATGGACTTTGGTTCAGTAAAAATGCTTGGTAGATTCTGACTCTGAAAAATATCTGTATTCTGACAATGAAAGACTGGGGATAGACTCAGACTCTGAAAAATGCCCCATGGCCTCTGCATCTGTGAAACACTTGCTGAAGACAGAGAAATGCCAAATGGCCTCAGATTCTGTAAAACACCTGATGGACTCTGAAAAAATATTGACTGAGACTGAAAAACTCTGGATGGTCTCTGCTTCTTAGAGGTATCTGATGGACTCAGACACAGAGATGGGTGAAACGGTCTCAGCCTCTTTACCTGGGGTACATCTGATGGAGGAAGAAAAATACCAGGAGAAGGCTAGATCTAAAAGATATATGATGGACTTTAGCTCTGAACCATGTGGGATGGACTTAGATTCAGGAAGATATGGGCTAGGCTTAGCAGCTTTCAAATTTCTCATGAATGCTAATACATTCCATTTGAGGACTGACACTGAAGGGCTCTGGATGAATTATGGGTCTGAAAGACGTACAATGGACTCACACTCTGAAAGCCTGGGGATGAGCTCTGATTCTGGAAAACACATGATAAAGTCTGAAAATTGCCAAAGAACCTCTGAATTGGAAAGATGCTGGACAAGACTCAAGTCTGAATCTGAAAGATATCAGATGGACTCTAATAAAATACAGTCAGATTTTGACTATGGTAGATTCTGGGATTGTTCTATAACATAGCAGCATAGGTCTGCAAGACTTTTGAATAGCTCTGGAAGATATCAGGATGGCCCTCTAAAATATTTGGAAAACTTTGAAAGACATCATGTAGACTCTAATTCTAAAAACACACAAATTCTAAAAAATTAAAGACAACAACATTGAGTTTGAAAGTGAAAGACACCTGATGAGGATGCAGAGGGAACAGTGTCTGACACAATTTGCAAATGAGAGACGTCAAATGGATGAAGAGAAGGAAAATCATCTTATGGAGTCTGACAGTGAAAATGAACACAGAATTGCATTTGACTCTGAACCAGGGGAAAGATATCACCTTGACTCAGAATATGAAGGAAAATGCCTTGGTGTTCATAGAAAGGATAATCATCCTCAAGGTAAGCTTACATGTGTGGTCTTTGAAAGCAGTTTGATTTACAAGTTTAATTAGAAATATTATGACACTTCCAAAATGTCAGTAGCTTTGACAAATTTGGGCCTAAGATCATTTTATCAGAAATTCAGAGAATGGGCATCTTAATCCCAGATTTCCAATTTACCTTTAAAAATTAGGAAATTATCTTGCTTTAGTTAAATTTTATCTCCTCAAAAGGGGGAAAATTAATTCTTAGCAAAGATGGTTATTCTGGCCTAAGAAACACAATGATGAATTTAGCTCTCATCATTCTGGAATGGGTGAATACAGATTGCCCATAAACTTTTTCTCATTATTAGTTACTGTGGAAACAGGTAAATATCCAAGCCTAACTCTAAAAAGTTTCAAATTATCTTGCTTCTCTCAAAAAGTTACTATCCAAGCTCCATAATTTTTGATAAATAGTTGGCATTTACCTTGCTGGTCATTTTTATTTTATTACACACAGACTACATTTTCTAATTGAGAATGTTGCTATAACTCAAAGCACCAAAAGAAAACCAAGAACTTTAACCCAAACATTCCTAAGAAATCTTCCCTCTGAAATTATAACAATGAATTCTGTGCCTCAATAAACCCCTGTGATTCATTTCAAAAACAGAACATTTAAAATAAAATATATTTAATGTATGATCAATGTTCTCTGTTTTAATACACTATTTCCACATAATGAGCCTTGAAATTTGTTTTAAGTAACACTGACTCATCCATGAGATCATATATCTTAAATATGGTGGGCTATTGAATCCTATGAAAATAAAATATACTATATGTGTTCGGGCATTTACCCATACAAAGTGTTATCCAGAGGTTGCACTGGTTGTTAGACAAGTTATTTTCTCCTGAGCTGAATACCTGTGAAATATTTTAGTTTAACAGTCAGAGGAAAACAGTCATCTGATTTTTCATATTCTCTGAGAATAACTCTCTGACCTCTAGTTAGAAATAAAATTATATTTGAAAGGATTAGTAATGTGAGAAAATAATTTCTGAGATCCTCTTATGAGGCAGCTTATTGGTGGAGTAGTGATAAAGGTCTGTTGTCTTTTATGAGGAGAAAGAAAATAATATTAAAACAAGTTTTCATTGGATTTGGACTTAGTAACACTAAATTAATTCTCCCCAATCCAATATTATTCTACATGAAGGGTATAAAGATTGGGTATATAAAACAATATATATATAACAATATATATAAAAGGGTATATAAAAACAAGCATCCAGCTTGTTTTTAATATTTTTAAACACCATCTGATAAATATTCAGTGAAATGGAATAACTACTGCTCAGGGCTAGAAAGACTCATGGGACCCAATGGCATTGCTGTTGATGTGCTTTATAAAATGTTGTCAATTGAATGCCTACTATGTGCTCAACATATAATAAATACATAAAAGAAAAATACCTTAAATTTATTTAGCATCTTTCAACCTTTCAAAATCCATTATTTAAAATTAATCTGCTTGCTCTAGCTAGGACTTCTAGTATTATGTTGAATAGTAGTGGTGACAATGGGCATCCTTGTGATGTTCCAGATCTTAGGAAAAGGCTTTCAGTTTTTTCCCATTCAGTATGATACCTGCTTCAGGACTGTTGTATATGACTTTTATTAGTTTGAGGTATGTTCCTTCTATACCCAGTTCTTTGAAGATTTTTATCATGAATGGATGTTGAATTTTATCAAATTTTTTTTTGGCATCAATTGAAATGATCGTTTTTAAATTTTTATTCTGTTGATATGGTGTATCATTGATTTTAATGTATTGTCACATTCAGTTTGCTAGTATTTTGTTGAGAATTTTGCAAAAAATATTCATCAAAGATATTGGCCTGTCATTCTCTTTTATTTTGATGTGTCTTTTTCTGTTTTTGGTATCAGGGTAATAATGGTCTTGTAAAATGAGTTTGGAAGTATTTCCTCCTCCTCTATTTTTTGGAATAGTTTTTGTGGGATTGTTATTAGTTCTTTAAATGTTTGACAAAAATGAGCAGTGAAGCCATTAGGTCCTGAGCTTTTCTTTACTGAGAGAGGTTTATTACAGCTTCAACCTTGTTACTTGTTATTGGTCTGTTTAGGTTTTGGATTTCTTCCTGGTTAAATTTTGATAGGCTGTATCTAGAAATGCGTTCATTTCTTCTAGATTTTTCAATATTGGCATATAGTTAGTTGCTCACAGTAGCCACTAATGATTATTTGAATTTCTATATTATCAGATGTAATGTCTCCTTTTGCATTTCTAATTTTATTTATTTGTATCTTCTCTCTTTTTTCTTAGTCTGGCTAAAGGTTTGTCAATTTTGTTTAACTTTTTTTAAAAAACAACTTTTTGTTTTCTTGATCTTTTGTATTTTTTTCATTTCAATTTTATCCATTGATGCTCTGATCTATATTTTTTTTCTTCCACTAATGTTAGGTTTGGTTTTCTCTTGCCTTCTAAATCTTTAAGATGCATCATTAGATTGTTTCTTTGGAGTTTTTCTCTTTTTTTATATATAGGCATATATAGCTATAAACTTTCATCTTAGTACTGCTTTTTCTGTATCTCATAGGTTTTGGTATCTCATGTTTTCATTATGATTTATTATCAGAAATTTTTCAATTTCCTTTTTGTTTTCTTCATTGGTCATTCAGGAGAATAGTGTTTTCTTGTTTCTTATTTTATTTTTTTCATTCCTTTATTTATTTATTTTTTATTTTTGTGGGTAGATAGTAGGTGTATATGTTTAATTGCCATGTGTCTGTGTAGTTTCCAAAATTCCTCCTGTTACTGATTTCTACTTTTATTCTATTGTGGCTTGGAAAGATGCCTAGTATTATTTCCAATTTTTGTGAATGTCATAACACTTCTTTGGTGACCTGACCTAACATATGTTCCATCCTTGAGAATAGTCCATGTGCTGAGGAAAAGAATGTTTATTCGGCAGCTGTTGGATGAAATGGCCTATAAATATCTATTAGATCCGCTTGGTCTATGGTGCAGATTAAGTCCAATGTTTCTTTGTTGATTTTGTGTCTGGAAGATCTGTCCAATGTTGAAAGTGTGATGTTAAAATATGCAGCTATTATTGTATTGGGGCCTGTCTCTCTCTTTAGCTCTAATATTTCCTTTACATATCTGGGTGCTCCATTATTGGGTGCATATATATTTAAATTGTTGTATTTTCTGGTTGAATTGACTTATCATTATATAGAGACCTTCTTTTGTCTCTTCTTATGTTTTTTGGTTTTGAAATCTATTTTGTCTGATATAAGTGTAGTGATTTCTGCTCTTTTTTTGGTGACCATTGGCATTGGAATATCTTTTTCCATCCCTTTATTTTCAGTTATGTGTCTTTATAGGTGAAGTATGTTTCTTGTTGGTATACTTCTTGTTTTTTTATCTATTCAGCCAGTCTGTTTCTTTTGATTGGAGAGTTTAGTCCATTTATATTCAATGCTACTATTGATAAGTAAAGACTTACTCCTGCCATATTGTTATTTGTTTTATTTTTGTTTTATAATCTTCTCTTCCTTCCTTTATTCCTTGTCTTCCTTTAATGTAGGATATTTTCTTTAGTGATAGGATTTAATGTCTTTCTTTTTGGGTTTTTTTTTTGGTGTGTGTGTGTGTGTGTGTGTGTGTGTGTGTGTGTGTGTGTGTGTACCTTCAGCACTTTAAAATGTCATGCCCCTCTCTCCTGGCCTGTAAGGTTTTCACCGAAATGTCTGCTGCCAGATGTATTGAAGCTTCCTTGTATATTATTTGTTTCTTTTCTCTTGCTGTTTTTAGGATCCTTTCTTTACCCTTGGCTCTTTGGATTTTGATTATTGAATGCCTTGAGGTAGCCTTCTTTGTTTTAAGTCTGCTTGGCATTCTGTAATTTTATTGTACTTGAATATTAATATCTTATTCTAGATTTGAAAAATTCTCTATTATTGTCCCATTGAATAAATTTTCTACTCCTATCTCTTTCTCTATCTCCTCCTTAAGGCCAGTAACTTTTAGATTTGCACTTTTTAGGCTATTTTCTAGAACTTGTATGTGTGCTTTATTGTTTTTTATTCTTTTTTCTTCTGTTTTTTTTTCTGACTGTATATTTTTAAGTAGCCTGTCTTCAAGCTCACTAATTCCTTCTTCTGCTTGATCAATTCTGCTTTTGTAGGGTTCTGATGCATTCTGCACTATGCCAATTGCATTTTTCAGCTCCAGATTTTTTTCTTGATGCTATTTAATTATTTCAATCTCTTTGTTAAATTTATCTGATAGAGTTCTAAATTTATTCTCTGTGTTATCTTGAATTTATTTGAGTTTCCTCAAAAAAACTATTTTGAATTCTCATCTGAAAGGTCACATATCTCTATTTCCTCAGGATTGTTCACTGGTGGCTTACTTAGTTCATTTAGTGAGGTCATGTTTGCATGGATATTGTTGAGGCTAGCAGATGTTCTTTGGTGTCTGAGCATTGAAGAGTTTGATATTTATTTTAGTCCTTGCTATTTGGGCTTGCTTGTTGTAGTCCTTTTTGGGAAGATTTTTCAGATATTTGAAAGGACTTGCATGTTGTGATACAATCTGTACTTGCTTTGGGGACACCTCAGCCCTAGTAACACTGTGATTCTTGCAGACTTGTAGAGGTACTGCCTTAATGCAGTATCTGGGCAAATTCTCTGGATTACCAGGCAGAAACTTTTGTTTTCTTCTCTTACTTTCTCCCAAATATACAGAATCTCTTTCTCTCTCTCTCTCTCTCTCTCTCTCTCTCTCTCTCTCTTCTGAGACACCTGAAGCTGCAGTTGGAGTGACACAAGTATCCCTGTGGCCATCACCACTATGATTGTGCTGGTTCAGACTTTAAGCCAGTAGAGCACTGTGCCTCATCCAAGACATGCTATAACCACTCCTTGGATACTGCCTATGTCACTCAAGGCCCTGATGCTCTGTAATCAGCAGATGACAAGGCCAGCCAGACCTGTGGCCTTCCATTCACAGTGGCAAGTTCCCCCAGGCCCTGGATATGTCCAGAGATGCCCTCTGGAACTCAAGAGACCAGAGTAATAAACCTTAGAAGTCTACCTGGTGTTCACTGAAACCACAAGATGCAGTCATTCTCACTCTTTTCTCCCTTTTCCAAAGGCAGAGGATCACCCTGTAGCCCCTGCTTGCACAGGTCACAGTGTGGGGTACTGCCAGACTACTGCAGATGTTCTCTTCAGGGCCAAGGGCTCTTCAGTCAGCTTATAGTAAATGCTACCTGGCCTGGGAGTCCCTCTTCAGGGCAATGGGCTCACCTCTGGCCCAGGGAAAGTTCAGAAATTCCATCCAGATGTCAAGTCCTGGAATTGGGGACTCCAAGAGCTCACTTGCTTCTCTACTTCCCTGTGGCTGTGCTGGTACCTAAGGTGCAAGACAAAGTCCCCTTCACTTTTGTGTTTGCTTATCTCAAGCGGAAGTTTCACCTCATAGCCACCTCTGCCAGTAATTACCTGAAGCCAACAAGTCTCAGAGGCTCACCCAGGACCCTCAACGTAGTACCTTGTTATCTCTGCTGGTTATTTGGGGCCCAAGGGCTCTTCAGTTAGCAGTTGATGTAGGTTGCCAGGACCGAATTATTTCCTTCAAAGCAGAGGGTCATTTTCTGGCCTTTGATGTGTTTAGAAATGTTGTCTGTGAGCTATGGCCTGAAACGGGGGTCTCATGACTCTGAACAGTGACCTGTCCTGTGGCTGAGCTTAAATCTTAGATGTAAGACAGAGTCCTCCTGAAGAGATGGAAAATTCTTCCCTCTTCTCTCCTCAAGCAGAAAGAAAGGGTCTCTTTTGGAGCTGTGAGCTGTGCATCCTGGGGTTAGGGGAAGGATGATGCCATCACTCCCTCTGCTGCCCCAGCTTGTGTCTCAGTAGGTTTCATGCCCCACCAGTCCACTGTCTCTGGGGCCAGTTCAGCACTAGGAGTCACTTGAAAGTTGCAGTCCTTTTGGTCTAGACTGCCTTTCATGTTTATTTAGAGATACAAAGCACTGTAGCCTGGGGTGGCAAGGTTTGCAGGAGCTCAAGTTTCAACCACTGGGATCACTAATTCCCCTTTGGCTAGGGCTGTTTTATCTACTGCCTTTGTGGGCAGGCATCAGCTGAATGTGGTCCAGTTTTCCTTTCTGCTCTAGCATTACAGTACTGAGTTTGTTGCCTCACAACTGCTGTACTTTCTCTCCCGCAGCACTCGGAGATGCTTTCTGCACCATGCCACTGCTGCAGCTGCCAGTGGTAGGGGGAAATGTGTGGCGACGGCGATTCAAGACTTTTTCTACCTCTTCAGTGCTTGTTTCAGTGAAGTTAACACCAGGTACTGTAAGGGCTCAACTGATTTTTGTTTCTTATGAAGGATTTTTGTTTGTGTAGATAGTTGATAAACAGGTATCTTTGCAGGGGATATGATCGGTGGAGCACTCTATTCTGCCATCTTGGTCAACTCATCTTGGTTTTGATTTGCTTTTATCTGATGATTACTGATGTGAAGCATTTTTTTTTCATTTTTGTTGACTACTCTTAAGTCTTGTTTTTGAGAAGTGTCTGCTCATCTCTTTCACCCATTTTTAATGGGATTATTTGAGTTTTGCTTGTATAATTGTTTCAGTTTCTTTTACATTCTGGATATTAGATCTTTGTCAAATGCATTGTTTGGAAATATTTTATCCCATTCTGTAGGTTTTTTACTCTGTTGATAGTTTCTTTTGCTGTGCAGAAGCACTTCAGTTTAATTTGGTCCCACTTGTCAATTTCTGATTTTCTTGCAATTGCTTTTGATGACTTAGTAATAAATTCTTTTTCAAGACCAATCTCCAGAAGGGTGTTTCCTAGGTTTTCTTCTAGGATTCTTATTGGTTGAGGTGTTACATTTAAATTTTTAATCCATGTTTAGTTAATTTTTGCATACGGTGAAATGTAGGGGTCTAGTTTTATTCTTCTACATATGGCTAGCCAGGTATCCCAGCAATATTTATTGAATAGGGAGTACTTTCCCCATTATTTATTATCGTCAACTTTGCCAAGATTACATAGCTGTAGGTGTGCAGCTTTATTTTGGGGTTCTTTTTTTCCCCCTTTGGACTATGTGTCTGTTTTAGTACCGATACCCTGCTGTGTTGTTTACTGTATCCTTATGGTATAGTTTGAAGTTGGGTAATGTGATGCCTCTGGCTTCATTCCTTTTGCTTAGAATTGCTTTGGCTATTTGGGTCTTTATTGCTTCCACATGAATTTTAAAATTGTTTTTCTATAAAAAATGACATTGATAGTTTGATTGGAATAGCATTGAATCTGTAGATTACTTTGAGCTGTATCGGCATTTTAACAAAACTGACTCTTCTTATTTATGAGCATGGAATGTTTTGCCATTTGTTTGTTTCATCTATAATTTCTTTCAGCAGCAGTGTTTTGTAGCTCTCCTTGTAGAGATCTTTCACCTCCTCAGTTAGATGTATTCCTGTTTTTTTGTTTGTTTGTTTGTTTTGGTTTGTTTTATTTTGTTGAGACGGAGTCTCACTCTGTGGCCCAAACTGGAGTTCAGTGGCATGATCTTGGCTCACTGCAAACTCTGCCTCCTGGGCTCAAATGATTCTCATGCCTCAGCCTCCTGAGTAGCTGGGAATACAGGCCCACACCACCATGCCTGGCTAATTTTTTGTATTTTAGTAGATACGGGGTTTCACCATGTTTCCCAAGGTGGTCTCGAACTCCTGAGTTCAGGCAATCCACCTGCCTTGGCATCCCAAAGTGCTGGGATTACAGGCATGAGCCACCATGCCCGGCAGTTAGATGTATTCCTAGATATTTTATTTATTTGTGGCTATTGTAAATGGGATTGTGTTCCGTATTTGGCTTTTGGCTTGAATGTTACTGGTGTATAAAAATTCTACTGATTTTTATATGTTGATTTTGTATCCGGAAAGTCATTTGCCAGTTCCACAAGCCACTTGGTGGAGTCTTTAGGGTTTTCTAGGTAAAGAATCAATTCATCCATGAGGAGAGATAGCTTGACTTCTTCTTTTCTTATTGGGATGCCATTTATGCTTTTCTCTTGCCTGATTGCTTTGGCTAAGACTTCCAGTACTATGTTGAATAGGAGGAATGAGAGTGGGCTTCCTTGTCTTTTTCCATTTTCAAGGGAATGCTTCTGGTTTTTGCCTATTCAGTATGATGTTGGCTGTATGTTGGTCATAGATAGCTCTTATTATTTTGTAACATGTTCCTTTGATGTCCATGCTGTTGAGTGCCAAGGTTTTTTTTTATCATGAAGGGATATTGTATTTTATCAAAAGCTTTTTTTAATATGTTGAAATGATAATATGGTTTTTGTTTTTAATTGTGTTTATGTAGTGAATTACATTTATTGATGTTCATATGTTGAACCAGTCTTGCATCCTAGAAATAAATTCTACTTGATTGTGCTGAATTAACTTTTTGATATGCTGCTAGATTTAGTTTGCTAGGATTTTATTGAGGATTTTTGTGTTTATGTTCATCAGATGTATTGGTCTGTAGTTTTCTTTTTTCATTGTGCCTTTGCTGGGTTTTAGTAAGAATGATGCTGGCCTCATAGAATGAGTTAGGGAAGAGTCCCTTCTCCTCAAATTTTTGGAATAGTTTCAATAGAATGGGTACCAAATCTTTGTTGTATGTCTGGTGTAATTCAGTTATGAATCCATCTGGTCCAGGGCTTTTTTTGGTTGGTAGGTTTTTCATTATTTATTCTATTTTGGGGCTCAATATTAATTTGATCAGCATTTTAATTTCTTCCTGATTTTATCTTGAGAGATTGTGTGTTTACAGGCATTTATCCATTTCCTCTAGGTTTTCTAATTTGTGTATGTGTTATCTCTGAGGTTCTTTTGTATTTCTGTGAGATTAATTGTAATGTCACCTTTGTTATTTTTGTATGTACTTATTTGAATCTTTTCTCTTTTTTTTTTTTTTTGGTTAATGTAGCTAGTGGTCTATCAATCAATCTTGTTTTCCTTTCAAAAGTCTAACTTTTGGTTTCATTGATTGTTTGGATTTTTGGGTCTCAATTTTATTCAGCTCTGCCCTGATTTTAGTTATTTCTTTACTTCTGCCAGCTTTCAGGTTAATTTGTTCCTGTTTTCCCAGTTCCCTTGTGTGTGATGTTAGACTGTTAATTTGAGATCTTTCTAACTTTTTAAGGTAAGCATTTAATAATATAAATTTTGTCTTGACATGGCTTTTGCTGCATCCTGAGATTTTGGTATATTGTGACTTTGTTTTTATTTATTTCAGAGATTTATTTATGAATTAACTTTATGGTTAACCCAAAATCACTCAGGAGCAAGTTGTTTAATTTCTATGTAATCTTGGGGTATATTCTGTGTACAGAAGAGAGGAATGTAAATTATGTAGTAGATGGGTGGAGTAATCTGTAGATGTCTATTAGTTTCAATTGGCCAAGTGTCACATTTAATTCCAGAATTTATTTGTTAGTATTCTGCTTTAATGATCTGTCTAATGTTTACAGTGGGGTGTTGAAGTCTCCCACTATTATCAGGTGGCTGTCTCAGTCTCTTTATAGGTCTAGAAGTACTTCTTTTTGTGAATCCCAGTGCTCCAATGTTGGGTTCATCTATATTTAGGATAGTTAACTCTTCTTGTTGAATTGAACCATTTATCATCATGTAATGCTCTTCTTTTTCCTTTTTTACTATTGCTGGTTTAAAGTCTGTTTTATCTAAGTATAATGATAACCTCTGCTGTATTTTGTTCTGCATTTGCAATATGACTCTTCAACCCTTTACCTTGGGCCTATGGATTTTGTTACAAGTGAGATGGTTCTCTTGAAGACAGTAAATTAATGGGTCTTGATTTTTCTTATCCAGATTGCCACTCTGTGCTTTTTAAGTGAGACATTTAGACCATTTACATTCAAGGTTATTATTAATATGTGAGGTTTTGTAGCTAGTTCCTCTGTAGTTTCTATTGTGTGGTTGCTTTATAGTGTCTGTGGGCTATGTAATTAGGAGTGTTTTGTGGTGACAGGTATTGTTATTTTGTTTCTATTTTAGAACTCTCAAGGATCTCTTGTATGGCTTGTGTAGTGGTTACAAATTCCCTTAGCACTTGATTGTCTGAAAAATATTTTATATCTCCTTCATTTATGAACTTGAGTTTGGTGGGATAAAAAATTATTGGTTGGAATTTCTTTTCTTTAAAGATACTGAATATAGGCCTCCAATCTCTCCTGGCTTGTAAGGATTTTGCTGAGAAGTCTTCTGTTAGCCTGTTGAGGCTCCCTCCGTATGTCATCTGACCTTTTTCTACAGCTGCCTTTAAGATTTCTTCTTTAGCATATATCTTGGACAGTCTGATGACTATATGCCTTAGTGATGTTCATTTTATATAGTACCATGCAGGTGTTCTCTGTATTTCTTGAATCTGGATGTCTACCTCTCTAGCAAGATTATGGAAATTTTCTTGAATGACTCTAATATGTTTTCCAGGTTGTTTGCTTGTTTTCCTCTCTCAGGAAGGCCAATAATTCCTAAATTTAGTCATATTACATAATCCCATATTTCTTGGAAACTTTGTTCATTTGTAACAATTATTTTTTCTTTATTTTTCTGACTGGGTTAGTTCAAAAGACCAGTCTTCAAGTTCTGAAAGTCTTTTTTCTGTTTGGTGCAGCCTACTGATAAAGCTTCCCATTGTATTTTGAAATTCCTTATGTGAAGGTTTCAATTTTAGAATTTCTTATTGGTTTGTTTTTAAGATGTTTATCCCTTCCTTCATTTCCTGGTTTGCTTTAGATTTTTCTTTGTGCTTATTTTCAACCTTGTTTTCGATCACATTGAACTTCCTTGCAAATTGTGCTATGAATTCTTTAAGCGTCACTTTTGAGTTTCTATTTTGGTTAGACACCATTGCTGGAGGGCTAGTGCGATCCTTTGGTGGCTTCACTATCTTCAGATTTCTCATGGTGCCAGATTTTTTATGCTGGTTCCTTCTCATTTGGAGATGCTGACACTTCTTATTTTTGTAACTATTTTCGTGTGGGTGAATTTTTTTCTTTTTCTTTCCTTTCCTATAATTTTATTTTTTTCTTTCCTTTCCCCTTTCTACCTGTCTCTAGCAGGTGCGACCGTAGAGAATACTGGGTAGTCTTTTGGCTTTGTCTCTATAGTCCTATGCACTTTATTTTAGGCTGTGCAGTTTAACCTACGAGCCAGTAGATGGCACTCATGGGTAAGAGCTAGCTGTGGCCTACATGGCGGGCTGTATACTTGATCTTTGTTTACTGGCAGATGCTCTCTGTTGCCTTGGGCATTGAGCTTATTTAGGGAATATACAGAGGTCTTAGCTTCCTGCTCAGCCCCAGGGGGTTTGTGGCCACAAGGAGTGGGGCCAGACTAGGCAGATCTGCCTACAGGTCCCCCAGTGGCCGACACAAGAACCTCTTCTGAAGGAGAATTTAGTGGGCAGCACTGAGGTGTACCTAGGTGTGAAGTTAGGAAACATCCTCAATGACAAGTTCTCTGCATGAGATTAAGAGGTGGCCTAAACTCCTAATCCATGAGATTGGGTGATCACATGCCTGGATCTCTACACAAGAGGTGTGGGGAAACTCAGGCGGCTGAACAAGGCAAGCAGGTGCTCATCTGCCTGAGTGTGTAGCAGAGGGCCTCACAGCACCAAATCTATGTCCAGGAAGAGTGGGGCAGCTGAGACTGCTCAGCTAGATGAGTGGATGCTCTGAATGCCTGGAGATATGCCTGGGCATAAAGCAGAGAGAGCCTTTATGCACCAGGGTCTCTGCACAGGAAGAGTGGGGAATGTCAGAATGCTGATCCAGGTAAGCAGGTACTCCAAATGCATGGAGATCTGCCTGGTGTGGAGCAGAGAGGATTCCCCTGCACCAAATTCTTTTAATCAGCCAGATGACATCAAGAAAGCTGTTTGCTGATGTACTCTCCCCCAGGTTCTGGGGTGTCCTTCATGACTCAGGTGGATTTCCATTTTTCCATCTTGAATTAAAGCTCTCAGAATAGATCTTTATGCACTATTGTTACCGGAAAGGGGTCCAGATACAAACCCCAAGACTGGGTTCTTGGATCTTGCACAAGAAAGAATTCAGGGTGAATCTGTAAAGTGAAAGCAAGTTTATTAAGAAATAAAGGAATAAAAGAATGACTGTTCCATAGAGCAGCCACAAGGGCTGCTGGTTGCCCATTTTTATGGTTATTTATTTCTTGATTATATGCTAAACAATGGGTGGATTTTTTATGCCTCCCCGTTTTAGACCATAAAGGGTAAATTCCTGAAGTTGCCATGGCATTTGTAAACTGTCATGGCGCTGGTGGGACTGTAACAGTGAGGATGACCAGTGGTCACTCTCGTAGCCATCTTGGTTTTGGTGGGTTTTGGCCAGCTTCTTTACTGCAACGTGTTTTATCAACAAGGTCTTTATGACCTGTATCTTGTGCCGATCTCCTATCTCATCCTGTGACTTAGAATGCCTTAACCATCTGAGAATGCAGCCCAGTAGGTTTCAGCCTCATTTCCCCCAGCCCCTACTCAAGATGGAGTTGCTCTGGTTAATCGCCTCTGACATTATCTTGCTATTTCCAAGTGGCTAAGGAACAACAAAAGCCTCTAATCTGCCAAAAAAAAAAAAAATTCTAGATCTTTTAAAATTTCTTTCCACAATGTCTTGAAATTTTTAGAGTAAATTTAAACTTCCCTTGTTAAATTTGACTCAAATCATTTTATTCTTTCTGATGCTATTCTAAATGGAATTGTTTTCTTAATATAATTTTTTGATTCTCTATTGCATGCATATACAAATGCAATTGATTTTTGAACATTGATCTTGTATCTTGAGCTTTGACAAAATTATATATTAGTACTAATAATTTTTAGTAGATTCATTATGATTTTCTGAATACAATAATATATCATTTGCAAATAAAGTTGCTTTTTTCTTTCCAATTTACATGTTTTTTATTTCTTTTCTTTCCCTAATTTCTCTGGTTAGAAGTTCCATTACAATGTTGAATAGAAATGAGAAAGTAGCCATCATTGTTTCATTTCTTAGGGGAAAAACATCCAGTATTTCACCATTAAACATGATTTATGTTGTGAGTTTTTATAGTCTTCTTTTATCAGAGAGTGTTCTGTTTCTAGTTTGTTAAGTGTCTTTATCATAAAAGAGTGTAGAATGTCATCAGATTTTTTTCCACATGTATTGATATGACCTTGTGGTTTTGTTTTTTATTCTATTAATATAGTGTATTACATTAATTGATTTTTGCATGTTAAACAAACCTTGCATTTTGGGGATAAATCCCAGTCATGATGTATAATCCTCTTAATATGTTGCTGAATTAAGTTTGCTAGTATTGTGTTGAGGATTTTTGCATCTGTTTTCATAAGAGATACTGGTCTATTCTTTTATTGCGATATCTTTATGTGGCTTTGGAATCAGAGTAATTCTGACTTCATAGTATATATTAGAAAGTGTTCTCTTATATTTCATGAGAAGAATTGGTGTTAATTCTTCTTTTAATGTTTGTTAGACTTCACTATTGAAATCATCTGGTCCTGTGCTCTCCTTTTTTTTTTTTTTTTTTTTGAGACAGGGTCTCACTCTGTCACCCAGGCTGGAGTGCAATGTCATGATCTTGGCTCACTGCAACCTCTGCCTCCCAGCCTCAAGCAATCCTCTCACTTCACCCACCTAAGTAGCTTGGACTACAGGTGTATACCACCACACCTAGCTATTTTTTTTATATTTTTTTTGTAGAGATGAGATTTTTCCATTTTGCCCAGGCTGGTCTCCAACACCTGGACTCAAGTGATCCACCCACCTTAGCCTCCCAAAGTGCTGGGATTACAGGTGTGAGCCACCACACCCAGCCTGGATGTTCTTGATTACTGACTCAACCTCTTCAATTATAGGTCTGTTCAAATTCTCTATTTCTTCTTGAGCAAGTTTTGATAGTTTCTTTCTAGCAATTTGTTCATTTCATCTACATTGTCTAGTTCGTTAGTGCACAAGTGTTCATAATGTTTTTCTATAATCCTTTTTATTTCTGTAAGCACTATAGTAATGCCCCATTTTCATTTCTATTTTTAGTAATTTGAGTCTTCTCTCTTTTCCTAGTCAGTCTAGCTAAAGACTTGCCAATTTCGTTGATCTTTTCAAAGAGGAAACTTTTGGTTTCATAGATCCTCTCTATTTTTTTTTTCATTCTCTCTTCAATTTTCTCTCCCCTAATCTTTATTATTTCTTCCATCTTCTAGCTTTGAATTTAACTTGTTCTTTTCCTAATTCTTTGAGGTATAAGGTGATGTTATTGATTTGAAATCTTTCTTTCTATATAATGTATCAACAACTATACATTTTCCTCCGATCACCATTTTTGCTGCATCCCATAGATTTTTGTATGCTGTATTTTCACCTTCTTTTGTCTCAAAATATTTGAAAATTTTTCTTTTAACTTGTCTTTGACTCTTGGTTGTTTAAGAGTGTGTTTTTTAATTTCCACATATTTGTAGATTTTCCATTTTTCTTCCCCTATTGATTTCTTGTTTCTTTCCATTCTAGTTGGAGAACATAGCTTACATTTTTAACCTTTTTAAATATATTTGTTTCTTATGCTCTGTCATATAGACTATACTGGAGAATGTTCCATGTAGATTTAACAATAATTTATTTGTTGTTTAGCGGAGTGTTTTATTGGTGTCTCTTAAGTCTAACTGGTTTTCTATTTATTTTTTGATCTTTCATCTAATTGTTATATCCATTATTGAATATGGGGTATCAAAATGCCCAACTCTCTCTGTTCATTTCTGTCAAGTTTTGATTCATGTATTTCAGTACTTTCTTATTAAATATATGTATACTTATAATTGTACTATCCCCATGGTGGGTTCAATGTTTTACCATTAGAAAATGTGTGTGTTTTAAAGTCCTCTGTGTTTAATATTAGCACAGTCACTTAAACTTTCTGTGGCTGCTGTTTGTATGATTTATATTTTTTCATCCTTTTACATTCAATCATTTTGTATTTTGAAATCTATACTGTGAATTGTCTAGGTGGCATATAGGTGACTCTTATTTTATTATCCCATCTGACAATCTCTGCTTTTGACTGGATTGTTTAATCCATCCACATTTAATGTTATTACTGTTACAGTAAGATTTAAGTATGCCATTTTACTTTTTTATTTCCAATTTGTTTCATGTCTTTTTTCATCCTCTATTTCTTCTTTACTGCTTTCCTTTGCATTAAGTGAATGTTTTCTAATGAAACATTTCATTATTTATCATAACCTTTTTGTAATTTATTTTTATTTCCTTAGTAGTTGCCCTACAGCTTACTATGCACATTTTAACTTATCAGAATGATCTTCAGATTTATGGCAACTTAATTCCAATGAGATATAGAAATGTTACTTCTATAGCACTGTATTATGTTTTTCTCCTTTATGGTATTAGTGTTTTTTATATATGTATATATTGTCTTAATGTTAAAAACCCATTAATACATTGCTATAATTATTATTTTATACAAGTTTATGTCATTTAGAGAATCTGAGATAAGAAAGGAGAACAAAGATATATCCTCTGGAGAGGATGAGCACTGTGTCCTCACATGGCAGAAGGCAGAAGGACAAAAATGGTGCCTTACTAGTTGCCTCCAGCCCTTGTATAAGGTCACTAATCTCATCTATGAGGGGAGAATTTTCATGGCCTAATTACTTCCTAAAGGTCTTACCTCTTATTAATGTTATATTAGGGATTAAGTTTTAATATAAATTTTGGAAGGGACACATTCAAACCATAGCAGCATCCTTAGTTTTGAACTTCACTATTGCAAATAAAGTAAGTTTATTTGGGAAGAGAAAAGGATCTATCTGTTTTATGGCCTGCTTCTTCCACCAGGCAAAATCTCTGAGACAGATCTGGAGCTGGGGTTGGAGACAATGACACACTTGTCTTTGAGCAATACTCCTGCTCTAGGAGCTGAGCGCTCAGTGAATGTGGGGATAGACTTAGGTCTCCTTGACTCACTTCTCCTGTCATGGGACCACTGCCTTATGAGCTGGAGAAAAGGTAATTGGGGCCTCAGTATTCTAAGCATTACCATATCCAATTTAGAGCCTCCATTCCATGAGTGGGGACTGGCAAGAGAAAATGAGCCTCAACTTTTGGCCATACTCTCCCAACACTTAGCCTCAGCAACATGGAGCTGGGGGCAGGATAAGAAGTACTGATGTCCTGCTACTCCAGAGAAAGAAGTCCCCTAACTGAGAGCTCTGGGGAAAGGAAACCCTGTGCTCTTAGCTATTGAGAGGAGTTAGCCAGCTTGCTTTAGGCAGACGGTAAAGGAAGGGTCCTGAGAGAACCTCCGACCCACCCAGGTCATTGCCTAATCCACACATACCGCAAGTGCTTACACTAGATGTTTTGTGCAGATAAGGAAACTTGCACAGGGGGCTTGCCTAAACATGTCCACAGTTACACAGATAAGGGAAGTTATGCAGGAGACTTACCTAAACATGCCAGAAGTGGAAAATTCCATCCCTTGACACATGTGCAGTAAAGAAAATAAATCAATATGGAGTGACTCAGGCTAAAGGCCCACATGTGCACTGGAAGGATGGGGTAGAGCCACCAGGAATTTACACCTTAAGCAAATAAGAAACCCAGCCCCATCAGCTTTTATATAAATGACTTTATATTCAACTGTGAAATGATAACCTGCCTTCAGGATCCCTCTGTTTTCTGAGAGCTTTCCTTTTGCTTAATAAATTCTACGCTGCCCTACTCACTCTCCAATGTCAATGTGCCTGATTCTTCCTGATTATGGGACAAGAACTCAGACCTAGCTGAGCTAAGGAGCAGGAAGACTGCAACACCATGTCTGTCTACAATGTAGTTTCCTCCATCTTCCTGAATTAGGAGGGAGGGATAAAGGAGAACTCTTATATCAAATACCATAGACTGTCTTTCCTCAATGAATTTTGGTAGATTTTCTGAATATGTTTCTTCATTTGTTTTATGCTCTTAGGACCATTTTCAGAGACATTAAATAGTTGATTTTTAAAAATAATTTTTACAGGATTCACTGGAGAGTAGGTCCATGTAGCTCCTCACACTGTCATTCCAGAATTCAATATCCGCAATTACCAGGGTTTTTACTGGAGGCTGGCAATGCAAATACCTTCTGCCTAGCATATACCAAAATCATAGACTTTCAGAAGGAAAGCAGATGTTTAACATAAACCACTTCATTTGTATAAACAGGTTAGGTACAGTGAGCCACTCTTATGAGTTTCGGGAATGTTGGGAATTTTTCCCAAATCTGAGTTTCTAGACAGCAGCCAAGGGTCCATCTTGCAAGACCTTTCTAAGTACAGAACTCTGAGAATGTCTATGTTAACTCTTTTGTGCACAGTCCACCCCACTGGCCCTTAGTCAAGGCATCTTTACACGAAAATTAGTAGTAGGAGGACCCCACACAGCATAATGATACCAAACTGCAGTATTGGTCTCAGTTTATGCCCTTCAGGTTTTCTTAATTTAGCCAGTAAAAACAAAAGCCATTAGCCAGAAAGGTCTACCTTAGAAAGTTGGATTGTGCCCTCAAGTTCCCACATTAACCTTTATTTCTGGCTCTATGCAACAATTGAGACACAGACTAACTCTGGCTAACTTGTAAGCCTTGCAGGCTGACCTGAAAGCCTTGCAGGTTGAAGCAGTGTCATAATAGACAGGATACACACATAAGAAGTACAATCCCAGAAGGCACACATGTTACCCTTAGAAACACACCCCAAACTGAACATACATTCAGGCAATACAGGTTAAAGGATCCCCAGTGAATTCATCAGGACAAAATCACCATGGGGGACCTTTGCTCTAACATTTTCAGTCTAGTCCAATTAATTCAGTTTAGTCCTTGGTTTCAGAAGGATTGCCTAAAGACTGTTCCAAACAGTTTTGCTTGCCAATGACACCAGTTTATCCTACTCAGGACACTGGGAAGTGTTTTTGTGGAAAGTGCAGGAGCTAAGGCCACCCCCTACTGTCTCATAATCAGCATTGTCAGGTATAATCTTAGGCTCAGGAGTCAATTTTACTTCAAAGGGCTCATAGAAGCTTGGAAAGCCAGCATTGGCAGTCTTCAGGAAGAGAGGAAAGCTTCCAAGAACATTTTTGAAAAGCAAAGATCAGTAATGCTCTCCCTGATACCCATGCCTCCTCAGTTGTCAGGGTTTGTTTTTTCTCTGCTGTTACATCAGTGTGTTCCACTCATTGATATTTATATTTCATATTCAATAATCCCCCACATTTACCCAGACCTTTGTCATGATATGTTGTATGCAAAAGAGACATAAACATTTTTATAGAAAAATGTTTTTTATACAACTTAATGAGAAAGAAGTTATGTTCAAGAGTTCAGCAGGACAAAAATCATAATTTTTCAAAATAGTCTCACATAATCTTTCACCCTTTTGATCCTAATCATTAATCTGATGATCTGCCTAGAAAAGATTAATACATTTATTGGAACAGCAGCATTTAACAATAAAGTGTCTATATTTAATGTGATTACCAGAAGAAAGGTGAAGGAAGTCAGGCTGTTAGTACATTGTTGTGAACTGCAACTGATAGAGACAGGAGACAGCCAAGGGTCCCTAATGAAACCCCACCATCAAGCCTAAAATAGCCTGAAGCCTGAAAAACCAGACTGCTGGTCCCAAATGAAGCCTACTCTTTCCTGACTGATTCTCTGTGAATAATGCCCACCTGCTCACTGGGGGAAGGGGATGGAGCCACAGGAATTCATGCCTTGTGCAGCGGGGGAGGAGGCTGGCCTCTTCAGTTCCTGTGTGTTGGCCTGGTGTTCAATCTGTGAGTGGGAGCCTGTTGGCAGGACTCCCTCTCGCTTTGCTGAGAGTTGTTTTTCCTTTTTCCTTTTCACCCAATAAATTCTGCTCTTCACCCTTATATGTGTCCATGAGCATAATCTTTCTTGGTCGTATGACAAGAACCCAGTTGTAGCAGAACTAAAAAGAAAGTTCTGCAACATTTTTGGCATCCAGACGTGGGGCTTAAGGAGGGGTGAGTCAGATGTGAACCAAAAAACTGTTTTTCCTTTTGCTTCTAAGACTTTTTGTTCTCAGACTTCTTCTGAGGGTAAATGGTGCACAACCCTACCCTAACGGGTTTAGGTGAACATGGGATGGATTAGTCAATAGCAGCTCCCCGACTCCCTCCAGGCCAGGGCTGGGGTGCATGGCCCATGATCCAAGGGTGCCCAACGGTAGAAATCAATTAAGTTTCTCTCCCTGTTGGAGGAACACATTTGTATAAGAATAAGGTTCTTCCCCCAGGCATATTTCCGACCCTGCACTTTAAACCTTTTTATCCTTTTCTCTACCCTGTCAGCTGTTAACTTTTAAGTGAGAGGGTTTTTTTTTTTCCTTTTAGAAGATGTTTCACTAAGCCAGGAATGATAAGGATCACAGTTTATGTTATCTGTAAAGTTTTAATTATGAAAAAGGATTTGTGGGGTTGGTCTTAAGCTGTAGCCAATCTGGTGTGCTTTGCATGACTTTCTGTATGGTCAGTAGCAAACTTTGCTCCAGGCCTCCATCTTGTTTTACATCCTTGGGAGCGTGACCTGTAACCATGTGACAATGTTTTGTTTAGCCTCTGCCACTTTACAGTGGTGGCCAGATTCAATCCTGGCTTAGGGAATGAGTATTTTCAAGTTAATATCTATGTGACTTTTGCCATTTTCTGATTCTCTTTGTTAGGGACAAACTGCCCCCAAGAAAGCTTCTTGGTGCTGCCCACCCCTCCCCCTAATGCTCTGCAACTCTTCTCCGTGCCCATCCTTCCCCCAAGGCTCTTTACTTTTCTAAGCCCTTATCTAGGCACCATGGTGAAGCCAGCAGACTTCACTTATCAGACCTTGCTGCAATAAACAAAACCCCAATTACAAACCATCTGGACCACACAGGGGGAGATTGTGGGAAACATAAACAAACTTTACCTACACCCTTCTGTAATAAATGTCACAAGGTAATATGTGGCAAAATTAACCAGCAAACAATCCCAGGGTCTTTCTTCCCTCATGTAAACCCCTCATTTTGTATGCTCAGAGCTGCCTCCTCTGTGATGGAGCAGCTGTCAGGTTAATAAACTTCCTCGCCTGACCTTGGGTCCCTCTCTCATCCTTTCTCTCGGCTGACCTTATATTCTGGTGCCGAAACCCGGGAAGGCAATAGATTCTGGCTGGGACTCACTCTCTCTCTCTCTCTCTCTCTCTCTCTCTCTTCCCCTCCCTCCCCTATCACCCCTCTCCCGGCCAATCTCCTCTTTCCCAAACCTGCCAAAGACCCAGAGAATCTCCTAGACTCTCCCATTGCTGGCAACCTCATCCACCATCAAAGCCTCCACCAGGGTGAGTGAAAAGAGACTGTTGCCATTCCCCAGAACCCTTGACCATCCATCTCTCCACTTCCAAAAGACCCAGCGCTGGGCCAAGGGCTTCCTCCCATCTCTGAGCCTCCAGTTCCTCCATTTCAGGGATGCCTGACTCGGTGGTTACCTCCTTTATTCTGGAGAAGTTCCATGGGAAAGGGGACGCCCTCTCCCACCGTCCTTGTCATCAACAGTCTCTTCTTCCCCTACCCTCCCCTCCTCCATTCACTATAGGAGCCTCTCAATCTACCCCTTCCAAGACCACCCCCCTGGGTGTCTCCTCCGCAATCTCCATGCTCTCAGCCTCCATTCAGAAATCCATTCTAAGAGGTTTATCTTTTTCAATGTACTTAAAGACAAACAACTTTTGCCATCGAAATGGGAAATGGTCTGAGATTCCTTATGTTCAGGCTTTCTTCACTCTCTGTAATCACTCTTCCCTCTGTCAGTCCTGTTCTACTTTCCAAATCCTCTTCACCCACTCCAAACCTGACTTGCCTCCTGCCCCCCTCCCCACAGCCCCAGCTGAAGACTGCTCTTCCTTCGACCCTGCCAATTTTCCCCTTCCCTGAAAGCATCATGATCCTCCACCAGAGCATCATGATCCTCCACCGTATGTCCCCACTCCAGCTCTACCTCTCTCCCCTCCTCTCTCCAACCACCCTGCTTCTGACTCTGAGTCCTCTCTCTCTCCACCCCTCACCTCCTCTCTGGCCCAAGATGCTCAGCAACCAGCTCCCTTGCTTCCTCTCCAGGAAGTAGCAGGAGTCGAGGGGATCATCCATGTCCATGTCCCTTTTTCCCTCTCCGATCTCTCCCAAATTGAGAAATGTCTCAGATCCTTCTCCTCTGATCCCGATACTTATATCAAAGAATTTAAATATCTTACCCAATCTAATGAACTCACTTGGCATGATCTCTACATTATCCTCTTTTATACCCTCCTTCCAGAAGAGAAGAAAAGAGTGTGGCTCACAGCACAGGCACAAGCTGATGATCTTCATTGGCAAGATCCTACTAAGCCTGTAGAAGCCGCTGCTGTTACCTGGGAAAAGCCTTCCTGGGAGTACCAACCCACAAACTCCAGCCAAGCATCCCATAACCATATAATTACTTGCGTCACTGCAGGCATTAACAAAGCTGCCCATAAGGCTGTAAATTTTGAAAATCTTAAAGAAATTTCCCAAAACCAGATGAAAATCTTGCTCAATTCCTTTTCTGCCTTACAGAGGCTTTCCAAAAATATACCCACATTGACCCTGCCTCCCAGGAAGGAACTATTGTTCTTAATACCCATTTTATCTCCCAATCCACACCCAATATTCGGCACAAGCTTCAGAAGCTTGACGACAGCCCTCAAACCCCACAACGAGACCTTCTTAATTTAGCCTTCAAAGTCTTTTAACAATCGTGATGAGGAAAGAAAGGCAAAAACAGGCAGAGTTTCAAACGCTTGCCTCTGCCATCAGGGGCCCTGCAGGCAACAGGGCGCAGCTCCACATGGAAGCCTCCTAGCAATCCACCTCCACCTGGTGCCTGTTTCAAGTGCGGCAGTGAAGGCCACTAGTCCAGACAATGCCCTAACCCAGATAAGCCCACCAGGCTGTGCCCCTCTGCGGAGGACGCCACTGGAAGTCAGACTGTGAGTGGCCCCCACAAGGACTGCCCCCATCCCTTCCTGAACTGGCCAAAACCTCCTACTCAGATCTCATCGGCCTTGCCACTGAAGACTGATGGTGCCCTGGAACGGACGCCCTGGCAACTACCATCTCTTCATCCGAGCCAAGGGTAACCCTGATGGTGGCAGGTAGGCCAGTATGTTTTTTTTTTTCAATACTGGGACAACCTACTCTGCTTTACCTAATTTTTCAGGACCCACCAAGTCCTCCCAGGTCTCTGTTGTAGGAATTGATGGGCAAGTCTCCAAACCCCGAGCCACCCCTCCACTCTTCTGTTCCCTGCACACCTTTTCCTTCACTCACTCTTTCTTAGTCCTGCCCTCATGTCCAACTCTACTCCTAGGCAGAAACATCCTTTCAAAAATCCACACTACTCTCCACCTCCATGGTGACCTACTTAGGAATTCAACTTTCTCCTGGGGCCCGGGCTATGACCCAAACCCAAGTGGCACTAATAGATAAATAATCTGCCCTGCCCTCCTCCAACAGCGAAGTCCTTTCCTTCCTAGGACTAGCAGGCTTCTTTAGAATATAGATTCCCAACTTTGCCCTCCTAGCTCACCCCCTCTATGAAGTGGCAAAAGGCCCTCTCAGTTAATCCCCAAACTCCTCACATAACATACTCCCCAGCTCCGTGAACTCCAAACTGCTCTTGTCACTACACCAGCTCTGTCCTTACCTAGTATCTCCCAACCTTTCATTCTCTATACTGCCGAAAGCCAAGGAATAGCCCTCAGTATCTTAGGGCAGCAGAAAGAAGACCCTCCTTCCTTTGCCCCTGTAGCCTACCTCTCTAAACAATTAGACAACACAGTCAGAGGATGGCCAACCTGTCTTAGAGTGCTAGCAACAGCAGCCACTTTAGGTCCAAAAATAACCAGGAAACTAACATTCAGTCAAAATAACACTGTCTACAGTCCTCATAATCTACAGGATTTCCTCTTCTCCTGAGCATTAGGCTCCCTTCCTCCTTACCGGATTCGATCATTCCATGCCCTCTTTATCGAAAATCCCGAATTCAGTATTGCCAAAAGTGCTCCCCTCAAGCCAGCATCATTACTCCCCGTATCCCCTTCCCCTCCTACTCATTCTTGCACTGACATCCTAGATCACCTGCAGCCACACTTTCCAAGCATTTCCTCTGAGCCTCTCACCGACCCCAATGACCAACTATTTATAGATGCCTCCTCTTCTGGGCCCACTGGCTCTCCCAAAATTGCTAGGTAAGAGGTTGTTTCCCTTGACCAAGTAATTGAAGCTAAGCCCCTACCTCCAGGAACCTCCTCTCAAAAAGCAGAACTCATAGCTCTCACCAGAGTCCTAACCCTTTCTAAAGGCAAATGGATCAACATTTACACAGACTCCAAATATGCATATCACATTCTTCATTCTCACACCATCATCTGGCAAGAGAGGGGATTCCTCACTGCCAAAGGGACGCCTATCACTAACGGCCCCTTATTTACCAACTCCTTCAGGCTGCACATCTCCCAACTGAGGCAGGAGTTATACACTGTCGGGGACATCAAACAGAGACAGAAAGGCCTTTGAGGGAACAGATTAATCTCAAGAGGGAACAGAAAGGCCAACAAGGCAGCAGAGAACAGAATCTCAGGAGGGAACAGAAAGGGAATCTGAAGAGGGAACAGAAAGGCCAATGAGGCAGCAAAAAAGGCCTCCCTTTCTTCCACTCCTGCCTCCCTCCTCCTCATTACCCCTGCAATCCAAGCTCAATACTCTCCCACTGAAAAGGCTTTATTACTACAACAAGGAACCTTCCTCCAGGGGGACAGGATAGTTAAGGACCAGAAGCTAGTCCTTCCCCAGCTCCAAACCGACAAAATCCTGACATCTCTCCACCAATCCTTCCGTGCTGGTGCATGTCCCCTGTATCTCCTCTTCTGCCCATATTTCTTCTCCCCTCACCTATTCACCTCACTAAAAAACATAACTTCAAACTGTCATATATACTCTGTCACCTCCTTTCAAAGAGCCCTCCACTCCCCATCTATTCCTACACACCAGCTAAGAGGAGCACTCCCAGGAGAAGAGTGGCAAATATACTTCAGCCACATGCCTCCTGTCAAAAAAACAAAATTCCTTCTCACTCTTACAAACACCTTCTCTGGGTGGGTGGAGGTATTTCCTACCTCTTCAAAAAAAGCCACAGTAGTATCCCAGATCCTTATCACAAAAATCATCCCTAGGTTTAGTCTCCCTCACTCCATTCGATCAGACAATGGCCCTGGGTTTATCTCCCAAATCACCCAACAGGTCTCCCAGTCCCTCGGCGTCCAGTGACACCTTCATATCCCATATCGACCCCAATCATCAGGAAAAGTCAATAGGGCAAATGGAATCCTTAAAACTCAGTTGACCAAACTCACTCTAGAACTCCAGAGGCCCTGGACTTTCCTCCTACCCGTAGCTCTAGCCTGCATCAGAGCCAGCCCAAAGGCACTCTCTTTCCTCAGCCCATTTAAATTAATGTATAGACGCCCTTTCCTCTTACAAAATAGGCCTCCTTCTAATTCTCAATCAGGGGAATACCTCCAAACACTTTCCCCCATCTGCCATCTCCTCCACAAACAGTCAGACCAGGCCCTCCAAAAACCACATAAAGGCCCTTGACACCTCCCACCTCCTTAACAAAAATTCAGAGTACTGTAATGGCTGACACCTCCCCTATTTATCCCTCTTCTCTTGGCTCCCCTCTCCATACACCATCCCTATACACACCACCCATGACGGTCTCATCCCAACATCCAACAACACTCCCACATGAATCTTAGTAAACAGAAAACGCTTCCTCTTACACTGGGAAAAAAAAAAAAAAAAAAAAAAAGCCTCCCAGCTTAAACCAAACACCCTTTAACAACCACTTATAACAGCAGCCCTAGCTGGGACCCTAAGAGTATGGATGCTTGAGAATAACAAAATAGTACATCTTTTTAGCATACACAACCAGTTCTGTCTACCAAGCCAAGGCATACTTTTCCTATGTATACCTCAACTTATATTTCCCTCCCCTCTAACTGGACAGGCACCTGCACCCTGCTTTTCCTCAGTCCAAAAATCACTGTTGCCCCAGGAGACCAGCCCCTACTAATCCCAGTTAATATCCCTATCTGACACCACCATACTATACAACTCATACCTCTGTTAGTAGCCCTCAGAATAACTACAGGAGTTGGAACTGGGATTGTGGGATTAACCACCTCCGTTTCCTATTACCAATCCCTCTCCAAAGACTTCACGAATAGCTTGGAAGAGATAGCCAAATCCATTACAACTCTCCAATCACAAATAAATTCTTAGCAGCAGTAGTTCTTCAAAACTGCAGAGGCTTAGACCTATTCACAGCCAAAAAAGGAGAACTCTGCCTTTTTCTAGATGAACAGTATTGCTTTTATCTTAACCAATCTGGCGTAATACAAGATACTGTAAAAAGACTAAAGGACCGAGCACAAAAAATTAAAGAAAATGTCCCCTGATGGCCAGCGTGGCCCTCCTGGTCCTTTAGTACCTGGTTTCCATGCCTAAAGCCCCTCCTAGGCCCGGCTGTAACCATTCTTCTTTTTCTAGCATTTGGCCCTTGTCTCCTAGGCCTTCTCACCCAGTTTTTACAGGACCTTATCAGAGCCTTCATCCACGGGACAATACAAGATATGATGCTGCTCCAGGAATACCAACGGCTCCAAAAACGGCAGTCCCTGCTGTCTAGCCTTCCCCCACAACCGTTGCCCCTTCCCAGCAAGAAGCAGCCAGACGACAATGGAGCCCCTCTTCTATTACCTATTAAGAGGTTTGAATGTTGGGGACAAACTGCCCCCAAGAAAGCTTCTTGGTGCTTCCCACCCCTCCCCCTAAGGCATTGAAACTCTTCTCCATGCCCACCCTTCCCCAAGCCTCTTTACATTTCTAAGCCCTTATCTGGGCACCATGGTGAAGCCAACAGATTTCACTTATCAGACCTTGCTGCAATAAACAAACCCCAATTACAAACCATCTGGACCGCACAGGAGGAGGTCATGGGAAACATAAACTTTACGGACACTCTCCTGTAATAAACGTCACAAAGTAATATGTGGCAAAATTAACCAGCAAACAACCCCAGGGTCTTTCTTACCACATATAAACGCCTCATTTTGTAAGCTTAAGGCTGCCTCCTCTGTCTGTGATGGAGCAGCCGTCAGGTTAATAAACTTCCTCGCCTGACCTTGGGTCTCTCTCATCCTTTCTCTCAGCTGACCTTACACTCTTCCTCTCCATGAACAACTTCTAGCTTTTTTTTTTCCTTAAATCTTCCTTTCTCTGGGTTATTTTTAAAGCTTCTAAATTTTGTAAGAACTGCTTAACCCCTCTGAAAATACCTCATACAATGGCAGTTAAATCATAATCTTAATTGAGGCTTGTTGGTTTCACCTATGAAGTTACCTTTAGTGAAGTTTGAAAGCCAGAAATACTGACCACTTGGCATGGCTAAAGTCAGGTAATAAAGAAGTTAAAAGGATTTTCTTAAAGATCACTCAGCTTAATTGCAAGTGGATAGTGGATACCCAAGTTATAGGTACATTTAAAAGGCCTTTATGTTTTTCTTTTCTTATATATATATATATATTTTTTTTTTAGACGGAGTCTTGCTCTGTTGCCAGGCTGGAGTGCAGTGGCCTGATCTCGGCTCCCTGTAGCCTCCGCCTCCCAGGTTCAAGCGATTCTCCTGCCTCACCCTCCCGAATAGCTGGGACTACAGGCACACACCACCATGCCCAGCTAATTTTTGTATTTTTACTAGAGACAGGGTTTCACCATGTTGGCCAGGATGGTCTCAATCTCTTGACCTTGTGATCTGCCCGCTTGGCCTCCCAAAGTGCTGGGATTACAGGCTCGAACCACAGCAACTGGCCACTTGTATCTTCTTTTACTGGAAAAAGTGTTTTTTTCTTAGTTGACTGAATTCTCTTTTCTCTATTTTGTCTTGCCACTCTTAATGCATGCACGAGTGGCCAATAATCCACTTCTTAGGAGATTGGCAAATGAAAAATCTTATGGCTGCTGTGTTTTCTCCTGCCTGTCTGTGTAGTTATGTATGTATTGTGTGATGTCTATAAAAAAAAAAGAGCTCTAATTAATTGGTCTAAAAGACAAGCGCTTGAATCAAATATTTTTTAAAGGGGAGATAAAAGCTGTGGTACCTTTTAGTTCATGTGACTTTAATCTTTGTGAAATAAAAAAACCTTAAAGATTATTGGTGAAATACAGTTGTTGTCAAAATGTAAATAGGTGAACTAAATTATGCAGATCAGACACTAGGTTTACTAAATGTTTTAAGGTTATAAACTGCCTTTTCAGTTTTTGATAATGTTTTAACTTGCTGGCTTCACAATTGGTAAAGCCTGGAAATATATGAAATTAACCACATCCTTAATTATGCAGGAAGGAGTTAAACCTTTGCTGCACCTAGCACATAATTAAACCAATTTACCAGGTTTTACATTAAAGTTAAAATTTGCTAGGAGTTACCATTATAAGATGTAATTGAAACTACTGGAAATAGATTTACATGCAAGGTGTGTGAGAACAGTAAGATGTATTTTTAGTAAAAGATTATAAGAAGGTGTTGAAATGTAAATTCTTGCCTAGGGTTAAAAGATTATTTTGAATTAGATAAGAAAAAGCTGAAGGTTTAAACGAGTTGTGGAAGAATTGTAAAAAAATTAATCTTGCAAAAGAAATTCCATGTGTGAACATATTGACTAAATTTAAAAGGGTATTATATGGTTTTCTGTAAATTGAGCATTGAAATAAAAGCACAACAAAGTATGTTTAAGACACTACTCTGCTCTTTAGCAAAATTTGTATAGGGTTATAAAAGGCTTTTGCTTTTTTAAAATTCTGAGTCATCATTTTGGCAAAATAAATAACTTATGGTAATCTGAAATTCTATTTCATAACATCATGTTTTAAACCTCTAAAATATTTAACAGATCCAGAGGCAGATGATAATGGAAGTTAAAAGGCAAAGCATAGGTGAGCATGACTGATTCCTTCCAATTAAGCCACACTTCCCATTTCAAGGATAAAGGTCACGCTAGCATCCATGGCATAAATGAGGTCTAGGGAATTCAAAGGCTACTGACATCAGGAGAGATAGGGTGTATGTGGGTAAAAGTGGGTTCTCCCACCCCCAAGGCCCCCCATTAACTTGGGTGAAAGCCACTTTCACACCCATGGGTGGCACAGTCACTGGGACTCAGGGATACAAGGACGGAGGAAAGAAAAAGGAATGCCTCACTTTCCCTCCCTCATGTACTCAGGGTATTTGCTAGAAAGAGAAAGGAACCAGGGATGCCTACTCACCTCTTTCTAGATGAATAGCCATTTATCTTCAGTCTGTGCCCTTTTTTAATGCATCCTGAACCCCTGAGACTCCTTTGAAAAAAAGTCTTCTTTTTTTTTTTTCCTCCTCTGTCCTCTCTTCACTGATAGGTAATTGTGTCTCCATACTATGGGACACTCCTCAGATGCATCCTCCAAACTGGAAAGAGTTAATTTCCAAAATCTTACACTGGTTGACTCAGAATTGGGCTGAGGGGATGGGAATACAGAAGATTGACACGCCAGCAAAAAAGGGTAAAAGTGTGTTTTTTTGTTTTTTTGTTTTACCAGTTGGGCTTTTGGCCTTTCTCTCCCCGTGCAAACTGATAAAAGGTCTTGAGATTTTTGAGCTGTCCTAACCACCCCCAACCTTGTTTTGTGTTAATACATGTTTTCTAATAACTTGGTTTGTCTTGTCTCGCCTTCAGGCCGTGAAATTCCAAGTGATCATGCAGCCAAAGACTCAGACAATGGCCCCTTTTACCAGGAGCCCTTAGATAGACTTCTGAGGGAGATCTTACTGCCATTTTCCCAAAACGGTGCCCCCTGTCTGCAGGAAGCAGTTACGATTAGTCTTTGTCCTTATCTTTATCCTTATTCTAACTGCAGTTAGATGTACTTCTTTAGAGGGGGGAATGATAGAGACAGGAGACAGTCAAGGGTTCCCAGGAAAACCCTGCCTTCAAGCTTAAAAAAGCCTGAAGGCTGAAAAACCAGACTCCTGGTCCCAGATGAAGCCCACCCTTTCCTGACTAATTCTCTCTGAATAATACCCACTTGTGCACTTGGGGAAGGGGGTGGCCACATGGGAAGTTCATGCCTTGTGCTGAGGGTAGGAAGCTGACCTCTTCAGTTCCTGTGTGGTGGTCTGGTGTTCAATCTGTGAGGTGGGAGCCTGTTGGCAAGACTCCCATTTGCTTTGCTGAAAGTTGTTTTTCCTTTTTTCTTTTCACCCAATAAATTTCACTCCTCACTCTTCTATGTGTCCACAAACTTAATCTTTCCTGGTCGTGTGACAAGAACCCGGTTTTAGCTGAACTAAGGAGAAAGTTCTGCAACACAACTATTCTAAAAAGATAAACACAAGTCAGTGGCAGTGAGACATCCCCCAGAGGGTTCCAGAGTCAGATCTGTCAGGGGTGGATGGAGCAGTCATCCTTCTTGTAGCGTTCCCTCCTCCAACTTACAAAGAATCACAAGCTAAGAATGTAATTAGTCTCTGTAATGGAAATATAGAGGTTATCAGCATCTTGTTTTGAGATGAACTCATTAAAGGAAAATCCCTTTCCTGTGGGCATTGGTGTGTGACCCAAACAGTTGAGCCATCATCCATGATGTTTTCATAGTTTGTGACTGCACAAACCAGTGCATCTGAAACAGTCCCAGAGTCTGAGTTATTTCCATTGAGTAGAGAGATTTCACCAGATTTTAGTTTCGCACAGCTAGTTCTGGGATTGAAACAGCTAACAGCAGACATAGTGATATTTCATCTTACAGTCAGGTCCAGGCAATAAAGATCTGTAAATTCAGAAATAAATAATAATAAAAAAAAAAGGTAGTGGCTTTCTTTCAGCAGCAGCAAAGCCTAGATACTGTGGAGCCAGATATCCAGCCAAGGACCAACCTTGCAACAGTCTTTTCTAAGGATAGCAGCCTCAGGCCTGCTATGTTAACTGACCCACTGTCTAACCAGCCCCAATGAGATGAGCTGGGTACCTCAAAGGAAATGCAGAAATCACCCGTCTTCTGCACTGATCTCACTGGGAGCTGCAGACTGGATCTGTTCCTATTTGGCCATCTTGCCAGCCACCTCTGAGGAAATACTTAAATAAATGAAGAAGCTAGCCATGCAGATGTCTGGGGTAAGGGCACTCTAGGCCAAGGGAGCAAAATGTCAAAGGCTAGTAATAAAACCGCCTTTGCAAAAATTATAACAGGAAATTATGATAGTGAATGAGATCACACCTGACTGACTCCACCTTGCTTCCAACCTTTAAGCTGTCCTTGTTCATTCCTGGGCATAGGCCAAACTAACTTTGGGAAGGAATTCATTTCATGGTTTGACTCTGAAATAAAATTTATAATAGCCCTTTTCTGAAAAGACACCCTTCTTGCCCAGGACCAGTTTGCCTTGGCAGGACTAACAAGTTAACTACAAGATTAGAAATTATGGTTTAGGAGTCATGCAGCGTCTGACTTCAAGAGTCTGAACCTTCCCAAATTGCTCCTGGGAATAACAACACTATTGTAAAACCTCAGATCAGTGCTTGAGATATTTTACAGACCCTGCACTCAATGGATCTACTGACACCACCCAGATCAGTAATCTGGCTCAACCAGTTCTTCCATCCCACCCAGGAACAGAAGAAAAACTCACTTCGACCCCCTATGATTCGATCTCCTCAATATTCCGCACTGCCCAAGCCCCTACCCTTCAAATTATCTTTAAAAACTCTGGTCTCCAAATTCTCAAGGAGAGTGATTTGCATAATAAAACTCCGGTCTCCCACACAGCTGGCTCTGCATAAATTACTCTTTCTCCATTGCAATTTCCCTGTCTTGATAAATCAGCTCTGTCTAGTCAGCGGGCACTGTGAACCCATTGGGTGATTACACTAATGTGAGAAAATGAGAGGAAAATTATTGGAGATAAAGCTAGTAAATTAATAGAGATTCAGATTATGTAGTGCCTTGTGGCCTATTATAACATTCTTTGGCTTTTACTCAGAGATACAAATGATCGGAAGGTTCTGACAGAGTTATGACATAATTTCACATACATTTTAATAGAATCTCTCTGGATTCGTTTTGAGAATAGACTGTAAGGGGATAAGGGTAGCAGCAAGTAGACTATTTGGAAGGCTATTTCAATAATCCAGGTGAGAAACGGTAAGGGCTTGTATTCAACATGTAGCAGTGAAGGTGGTAAAAAGTGGTCAGATTTTTGTGAAGTGATCAGAAGTGGTCATATGTTTTTAAAGGTAGAAGCAACCGGATTTTCTGAGATTTGGATGTAAGAAAAAAGAAAAGAGAGGACTCAGGATATCAAGTGTTTGGTCCTAGTCAACTACATAAGGAAGCATTTGCCATTTAATTTAATGGGAAAGACTGAAAAGCAAGTTTAAGATCAGGGGGAAACTGGGAGTTCAGATTTGGACATATTAATATTTAGGTATCAACTGAAAAGCTAAGAAGTATCAAGTGGGCAGTAATTCATACAGCTCTAAAGTTCATCAAAGCAGACAGAGCTGCAAAAGCACATTTAAGAAATTGTAAATTAGATAAATAGATAGATAGATAGATAGGTAATTGATAGATACATAGATTGACTGATATGTAGGTATCTCTGAATAAGATCATCAAAAGCTTTATTATAGAAAAGAGAATTCTAAGGACTGATTTATGGGGCAATCCAATAATAAGATGTGAGAGAGATGAGGAAGAACCAGCAAACAAGACTGAGAAGGAGTAGCCAGTGAGATAGTAGGAAAAAATCATGAGAGTTCATGTGGTGTCAAAGCTAACAAATAAAGTGTAGGGAAGTGTAATCAACTGTATTAAGTGCTAATGATAGGTCAAGGAAGATAAAGGATAAGAAATAGCCTTAGATTTAGTAATATTAAGTTGACTGGTGATTTAAAAAAATTAAATAGTATCATGTTGACAAATGTTTGATTGTAGTGAGCTTTAGAATCTGGTAGAGTGCGGTGGAAAATTGATTCTAAATATTTCCACTTCTACTCCTCAAAACCATACAGAGTTTAGTTATGTATAGAAAAAGGGGAAAACACCACAAACTACATATTCTGTGATACTAGGAGATAAAGCCTGTAAAGATGTGTAGTCAAAATTGCCCTGTATTAGAGGAGTCTTCACCAGCTGTGTTGTGATACCATGGTGTTATAACAGGGAAGAATAAAAACAGTGAAGGGGTCTATCAGTGCCAGATCTCAGATATAAACAAAGAAACGTGGAAAACTACTGTGGCTTTTAGCCTTTATCTTCTTCCAGAGTAGTTGCCTGTTAAGGACTCATTCAGAAAAATTGAAGTTATTCAAACATGAGGCAAAGAAAATTCTGCTTACAGTTAGGAAATAAAAGGTTACTAGAGAATTCCCAGGTCAATTTTTATTCCTTACATCCCTTGTTGTATTCCACCTTAACAATAAGATAGCATCATAAATGCATTTTTTAAAATCAATGAATTGACAATGCAATGAAATCCGTATGAAGTAATATCAAATGAGAGAAAACTCCTTCCAAGGTAAGGCAAGACCCCCAAGCAATGTAATCTCTAAAGGCATAGTGGATAAAGGAGTGTATTAATTATCCATTGCCATATAACAAATTACTCCAAACTTAGTGGCTTAAAAAAATAAAGATTTACTACCTCATAATTTCTGTGGATCATGGTAGCTTCTTAGGGTGGTTCTGGCTCCAGGGCCTCTCATGAGGTTGCAGTCAAACTGTCAGTTGGGGTTGAATGGAGGAGGGTATGTTTCCATGTTTACTCATGTTGGGCCTTTTGGTAGTTGGCCTGAATGATTTCACCACATGACAGCTGATTTCCCTCTCCCTGAGGTTGTTTTACAACATAGTAGCTAGATTCCACAAGAGTACATGATTTAAGAGAGAGTGAGAGACAGTACATTCAAGAAAGAAACTGCACTCTTTTTGTAACCCAATCTAGGTGGGGCATACCATCATTTCTGCCACAATTTAGTCACTAGAAACTAGTCACTAATTCCAAGACGCTCTCAAGAGGAGGAAATTAAGTTGCACCCTTTAAAAGGAGGAGTATCAATAATTTGTGGACATACCTTTGAAATTACCACAAATAGTAAACCCAGCAAAATAGTAGATATTTCCAGAATAAAGATAAACCAACTGAAACTTTAGCAGCACATCTGGGCTGGCAAAAGAGATATCAAACAATTTGACCAATTGACATTTGTAGAACACTTTACTCAAGGACAGCAGAATACATATTCCTGTCTAGTACACATAGAAAATTTACCAAGATACCCCATATTCTAGGCCATAAGACATTTCTCAATAAATTTAAGAGGATTCAAGTCATATAAAGTATGTTCTCTGACCAGACTGGGATTAAATTAGAAAACAGTAACAGTAAGATTTCTGGAAACAAAAAATACCCATAGCTGTTCAGAAACTAAATAACATACTTCTAAGTAACACACAGGTCAATTAAAACCCTCTGGGGAATTAGAAAGCATTTGGGCTGCATTAAAATGGAAATACAACTGATCAAAATGTGTCAAATTATGCTAAAGCAGTATGTAGGGGAAAATTTATAGCACCAAACACATATATTGGAACAGAAGAAAGGCCTCAAATAATTGTCCTTTGCTTCCATATTAAGAAACTAGAGAATAGAAATTAATAAAATAGATAACATAAAAACAATAGACAAAATCAATGGAAACAAAGTGGTTCTTCAAGAAGATCAATATCATTGATAGAAAAGATAGAAGGCCCCATATTACCAATACTAGCAAGAAGAGGCATGGCATCACTGCAGGCTCTATTAGATATTAAAAAGAAATGTTTGATGACTTACATGAAAAGGAAAAATTTCTTGAAAGATAAACTTCAAGAAAATCACTCAAGAAGAAATAGATAACCTGATTATTCCTAATTCAATGAAATGTAATTCATTGTACTAACAAAGACAAAAAGAAAGACTAAGTCATTATCTCAATAAAGACAAATGAAGCACTGTACAATATCCAAAATCTATTCTCAAAAAAAATGCTCAACAAATTAAGAATGAGCTAACACACACACACACACACAAACTAGCACTAAGATTATACTTAATGGTAAAAGACTGAATGCTTTCCCCCTAAGATCTGACGTAAGGCTAGAATTTTGCTCTCACAGTCTGTTATCAATATTTTGTTGGAGATTCTATTCAAGATAATAAGGCAAGAAAACTAGGTTATATTAGAAAAGTAGTGAAACTATCTTAATTCACAGACATCATGAATGTCTGCATAGAAAATCTTATGGAATCTCCAACATAGTCTACCAGAACTAAGTGAGCTTGGTAACATTACAGGATACAAAGTTGGTATACAAAAATCAATTGTATCTCCATCTGCTATCAATAAACAGTTTGAAATTAAAATTTCTAAAACATATCATTGGCAATAGGATTAAAAACACATGAAATGTGAGAAATAAATCTAACAAAAGACATACTAGATATGAAAAATAAAAGCTAAAAAAGATTTCTGAGATACATTAAACAAGAACAAAATAAATAAACGCCCATGTTCATGCACAGGAAGTCTTGTTGTTAAGGTTTTCTTCATACTGATGTGTAGATTCAATGCACTTTTGATCAAAATCCAAGAAAATAAGTTGTTGTCCAAGATGTTGACAAACTATTTCTGAAATTTGTATGAGAATGCAAAGGACTTAAAATAATCAAAACAACTTTTAAAAAGAACAACACTCAGCCAGGCGCGGTGGCTCATGCCTGTAATCCCAGCACTTTGAGACGCCTAGATGGGCAGATCGCTTGAGCTCAGGAGGTCAAGACCAGCCTGGGCAACATTGCAAAACCCTGTCTTTACAAAAAATACAAAAAAATAGCGGAGCATGGTGGCACACATATGTATTACTAGCTACTGGGAGGCTGAGGTGGGAGGATCACCTGAGCCCAAGAGGTCAAGGCTGCAATGAGTGAAGATTGCACTACTGCATTCCATCCTGGGCAACAGAGTGAGATTCTGTCTCAAAAAACACAACAGAGTTCCCACAGACACTGTGCCACCACACAGGCACAGCCTCCTCAGCTGTCAACAACCTGCACCAGAGTGCTACATTTGTTACAATCAATGAATCTATACTGACATATAATTACAACCCCAAATCCATAATTTGCATTGAGGTACACTTTACAGGTTTTTAGAAATAAAAATGGCATATATCATATATTTTAGTATCACACAGAATAGTTTCATTCCCCCTAAAATTCCTCTATGTTCTACCTATTTATCTCTTCCTCTCCTCTTTTTCCTAGCAACCACTGATCCTTTCATTGTTTCCATAATTTTGCCTTTTCTAGAATGTCATGTGGTTGGAATCATACAGTAAATAGCCTTTCCAAAGTGGTGTCTTTCTTTCACTTAATAATATGCATTTAAGTTTTCGCCATGGTTTTTCATGGCTTGATAACTCAGTTCTTTTTATTACTGAATAATATTGCATTATGTAGATGTACCACAATTTATTTATACGTTCACCTACTGAAGGACATTTTGGGTGCTTCCAAGTTTTTGCAATTGTGAATAAAGCTGCTATAAACATCTTTGTACAGGTATTTTTGTGTAGCCATATATTTCAGTTCATTTGGGTAAACATAAAAGAGCATAATTGCTGGATCATATGATTAAGAGAATATTTAGTTTTGTAAGAATGTCAATCTATCTTTCAAAGTGGCTGTATCATTTTGTATTCCCAACAGCAATGAAAGAGAGTTCCTATTGCTTCACATTCTTACCAACATTTAACATTGTCAATGTTTTGGATGTTGGCCATTCTAATGCATGCACAGTGCATTTTTTAATCAGATTGTTCATTCTATTACTGTTGTATTTTAAGAGTTCTTTGTGTATTTTAGATATCAGTCCTTCATCAGATGTGTGTTTTGCAAATATTTTCTCTCAGTCTGTGGCTTATCTTCTCAGTCTCTTGAAGACCCATCTTTTACCAAGGGGCAACATCAATTCAGTGAAAAAAAAAGTGTTTAAAAAAAATGATGCTGGTACCATTGGATGTCCAAATGTAAAACAAAAACAAAACAAACAGTCTTCTGCCTGCTTCTGGACGAGCGAGGAGACTTGTGGTCTGGTTCTTGGACTTCCCTAGCAGCGTGGCATCCAAACGCCAATCTCCACTCTCACCTCAAAAGAAGAAATCAAGACCACCTCCTGCTCTGGGACCGGAGGAGACATTGGCCTCTGCAGGCTTGCCAAAGTAGGAAGAAAAAGAACAGCAAGAAGCCATTGAACACATTGATGAAGTACAAAATGAAATAGACAGACTTAATGAATAAGCCAGTGAGGAGATTTTGAAAGTAGAGCAGAAATATAAGAAAATCTGCCAACCATTTTTTCAGAAGGGGTCAGAATTGATAGCCAAAATTCCAAATTTTGGGGTAACAACATTTGTCAACCATCCACAAGTGTCTACACTGCTTGGGGAGGAGGACGAAGAGGCACTGCATTATTTGACCAGAGTTGAAGTGACAGAATTTGAAAATATTAAATCAGGTTAGAGAATAGATTTTTATTTTGATGAAAATCCTTACTTTGAAAATAAAGTTCTCTCCAAATAATTTCATCTGTATGAGAATGATGATCCATCTTCAAAGTCCACTGAAATCAAATGGAAATCTGGAAAGGATTTGATGAAATATTCAAGTCAAACACAGAATAAAGCCAGCAAGAAGAGGCAGCATGAGGAACCAGAGAGCTTCTTTACCTGGTTTACTGACCATTCTGATGCAGGTGCTGATGAGTTAGACGTCAACAAAGACGATATTTGGCCAAACCCATTACAGTACTACTTGGTTCCCCATATGGATGATGAAGAAGGGGAAGGAGGAGATGATGATGATGAAGAAGAGGAGGAAGGATTAGAAGATATTAGTGAAGAAGGGGATGAGGATGAAAGTGAAGAAGATGAAGATGATGATGAAGGGGAGGATGGAGAGGAGGATGAAAGAGAAGATGACTAATAGAACACTGATGGATTTCAAGCTTCCTTTTTCTAAATTTTCTCCAGTCCCTGGGAACAAGTTGCAGTCTTTTTTCACCCCCACCCCTCTTGTTCTCAGTTGCCCTCTTCTTGAGATCTCTTTTCTTTACACTATGTTTCTCAACCTATTTGGGGGAAAATACCTTGTGCAGAATGCAATGGGAAAAGAGTCTCTACCCCTTTCTGTTTGAAATTCATTTTTATCCCTTTCTGTCTGAACAAAAACTGTATGGAATCAACACCACCGAGCTCTGTGGGAAAAAAGAAAAACCTGCTCCCTTCACTCTGCTGGAAGCTGCAGGGTGCTAGGCCCCTGTGTAGTAGTGCATAAAATTCTAGCTTTTTTCCTCCTTTCTCTGTATATTGGGCTCAGAGAGTGCACTGTGTCTCCATGTGAATATGGACGGTTAGCATTTACCAACATGTGTCTGTCTACTTTCTCTTGTTTAAAAAAAGAAAAAAAAGTTATAAAAAACGGGGTTATGGAAGGTCAGCAAAGGGTGTGTTTGAGATGTTTGGGTAGGTTAAGTGGGCATTTTGACAGCATGGCTTCTCCTTTGGCATGTTTAATTGTGATATTTGACAGACATCCTTGCGGTTTAAGATGACACTTTTAAAATAAATTCTCTCCTAATGATGACTTGAGCCCTACTACTAAATGGGAGAATCAGCATAACCTGTAGGATCTTATTTGGAATTGACATTCTCTATTGTAATTTTGTTCCTGTTTATTCTTAAATTTTCTTTTTGTTTCACTGGAAAGGAAAGATGATGCTCAGTTTTAAACGTTAAAAGTGTACAAGTTACTTTGTTACAATAAAACTAAATGTGTACACCAAGAATTTGATGCTTTTCTTTCAGCATAGGTATGCTTACTATGACCTTCCAAGTTTGACTTGTATAACATCACTGTCGAACTTTGTCACCCTAACTTTGTATTTTTTGATATGCACTTTGCAGGATGACCTCAGGCCTATGTGGATTGAGTAATGGGATTTGAATCAATGCGTTAATGTCTCCATAGCTGGGAAACGTGGGTACAATTTGCCATTGGTTTCTGAAAGTATTCACATCATTTGGGATACCAGATTGCTCAATACTTTCTGAGTATATTGTACCCTTGATTTTTAGCTCCAAGTGGCAGTTTATAAAATTGGCCTTTTACCTGGATATAAAATAATAGTGCCTGCCACCACCATCCAACAGACCTGGTGCTCTAGTGCCAAGTTATACATGGGACAGTTGCTGGGATGTCTTCATTTGCTATATAAAATGTGGCCACGAAGATAGGCACTCAGAGTAAGAAGTCTGTGATTGTTGGCAGTAACTGTCCCTGCTCTCTGGTGTAAAGCTCTCAAATATGACTATGTGAATCTGGGTGGGATAATGAACTCAGCTTCATCTGCTCAATGCTATTGTGCAGGGAAGCACCCTAATGCATAAGCTTTTTAATGTTGTAAAATATAGTAGCTGAAATTAAATGCCACTTTTTCAGAGGTGAATTAATGGACAGGTCAGCCCTAGATGTATAGTATGTAATTTCTGCACAGCTCTCTGTTTAGTAAATACATCACTATATACTGATCAGGAATCTTGCTCCAATAAAGGAACATAAAGATTTTGAAAAAACAAAAACAAAACAAACAAAAGAAGAAACTTTAATTATATGCATTTCTTGCATTGTGTACAAAAATAACTGAGTTAGATCTAAATAACAAATTAGTATGATAATAAATATATAAATAGTATATATTAATACATTACTATTTATTTAATAAATCCTAAAACTAAAAAAATTGTTGATGAAAACAGGGCAGAAAAATTTTTGTGACCTTGGGTTAGGCAAAGATTTTTTTTGGATGCAAAAATAGAAGCATTGTATATTTTAATTAATTTTTATTTTTATTTCAATAGATTTGGGTATATAGGCGTTTTTGGTTACGTGGATAAGTTCTCTAGTAGCGATTTCTGAGATCTTAGTGAATCTGTCACCCGAACAGTTTACACTGTCCCCAGTATGTAGTCTTTTCTCCCTCACCCCCTCCCAACCGTCCCCATGAGTCTCCAAAATCCATTATATCATTCTTATGCCTTTGCATCCTCATGGTTTAGCTCCTACAAGTGAAAACGTACGATGTTTGGTTTTATATTTCTTAGTTACTTCATTTAGAATAATGGCCTCCAGTTCCATCCAAGTTGCTGCAAAATACATTATTTCATTCCTTTTTATGGCTGAGTAGTACTCAATGGTGTATGTATATCACATTTAATCCACTCATCAGTTAATGAGTTAATGAGCACTTAGATTGATTCCATATATTTGCAATTGTGAGTTGTGCCATGATAAACATATGCATGCAGGTGTCTTTTTGATATAATGACGTCTCCTTTGAGTAGTTACCCAGTAGTGGGATTGCTGGATCAAATGGTATTTTATTTTCTTGCAGCTATTGTAAAAGTGATTGAGCTTTTGATTTATTCCCAGCTTGGTCATTGTTGGTGTAGAGCAGTGCTACTGATTTGTGTACATTGATTTTGTAACCTGAGACTTTACTGAATTCATTTATCAAATGTAAGAGTCTTTTGGAGGAGTGTTTAGGGTTTGTAGGTATACTGTCATATCATCAGCGAACAGCAATTACTTGACCATTTCTTTTCTAGTTTGGATGCCCAGTTTTTTCTTTCTCTTGCCTGAGTTTTCTGGCGAGGCCTTCCAGTACAATGTTGAGTAGAAGTGGTGAAAGTGGGCATCCTTGTTAAAGCTAAGATATTGATAAATATCATATCTAAATATCCAGAATCATGTGCCAGCAAGTTTTTAATAGCTATGGAAATTGATTCTTGCTATTAAATAAAATATCAAAAAGTTTTCCAATTTTGACATATCAAGCCCAAGAATATTATTATCTTCAAACACAGAAATTTTATAAATTATAGCGATTATATTCCATGAAAGAAAAAAATGTAAGTATTACTAGAGGCAAAATTAACAAGTAATATAGCTCTGTAGTAACCAAGCTATGTAAAACAACCATTTTATTTTGGCCACGTTATTCCAATGAATTCCTATATAGTGAGTTCTCATCTTAAAAGGAAGATCTGTGAATCTGAAGAGTATAAACATATGAGATAAATGTACACATTTCATTTTTTTATGTTTTAGCAAGCTCAAGTTCACACCTACTTGAGGAGAAAATTTAGGATCATGTCTTCCTCTTGAAATATCAGATAATACTGGCAATAACTTACTGAAGGAAATATTTTTTGGCACAGATTTATGTTGTAATGTCAGCGTCAAAGTCAGATTTCATTATAGTCTTACTTATATTTTACTTGTTTCTCTCCAGCATTTTTCATAATTCAACCTGTGAGGTACCTCAGTGATTACAAAATTATGGGATTCAAAGAGGTGTCTCCAACTCTCAGAGACAAACAAGAATCACAGCAAAAGTTAAAGGAAAAATGCAGCAACAACCTTTCCCTAGACCGAAATACTTTCATAGATAACAAGCATCACATAAATGAAAACCACAAAATTTATCTACATAAGAGCCACTATAAGGACTACAGATATACACATAATTTTCAGAGTTCTGGGTCTCAAATGAATCCTATTCATCTCCTAATTGCTGAGAGTTACAACTCTGGCATTCCACCCAAATTCTGTAAGCCCTAGGTCTGCTGTACACTCCAAGACTCATAAAAATAACACATATTCTTTGGACATGGGAGCTCAAATATGTCCCAAATGTTTGATGGAAATCAGTAATTCTCTTTTTCATATATGCCTCATAAATTCTAATGATGATTCAGACCCTGACTATCCTTTACATCTCCAATTTCCCTTAGATTGAAAATATTATCTGAACCCAAATCTGTTAGACACTGCAAGACTTCTCAAAATAGCCCCTTTTCTCGGTCCCTGGATCCTAAGTCTCCTGTGGGCAACCACTGTCCTCTACACCAGGAAGATTCTAAATATTCCTTAGGTTCAACTTCTTATTTACATTGTGAAAGTTGCTCAGCTTTCCAAAATCTCTTAGGCTTTACTATTATCTGTACCTTTTTCATGAAACCCCAAAATACCATGAGCTGCCATAGTACCCCTGGCCCAGGCAATGTCATCAACCCCAGCAACATTTCTGGTCTTAAAAGTGGCGGAAAGTACAATGTAACTTTCAAACCCCAAAATGAGGCCAATCCTAAAAATAAGACTTAACTGATCGGTGCTGGCAATCTCAAAGATAAGACCAATGCCAAAGACAAGTCTTTTCCCAAAGATTAGTTAGACCATGAGAATAAGACAGAATCTGAAGATGAGACAGATGCTGAAGATGAAACAGACACTGAAGATAAAGACAACAACAAAGATAAGAAAGATCCCAAAGATAGGTCTGATACTAATGACACTAATCCTAAAGATAGCAATGCTGAAAATTATGTTGATACCAACAATGGTTCTGATCCCAGTGGTGATGCTGGCTCTGCAAGTGGTGATAATTCCAACAGTGATAGTGACCCTAATAATGGAACTGACCCCAGCAGTAAAACTGACCCTAACATTTGATATGTCACTAACAATGATGCAAACTCCAAATATAGCACTGATCCTGAGGAAAACAAATACATCAACAATTCAGACAATGCTTCTGGCTTAGACAATAGTGTTGATAAGGAAAGTACTGCTGACTCCAACAATGGCACTAATCCAAATCACACCTCTGGGTCCCTAAATAGAACTGGCCAGGACCACACATCTGATTCCAACAATGATGACAGCCCTAGCAATGCCACTGAGCCAGGCAATGACATTTTCCACAACAGTGTCCCTGACTCCAAAAATATTAAAAATGGGTCCTAAGAGCCACAGCCCGAGCAACAATGGCACTGGCCTCAACAACAATTGCCTTGGCCCCAACAATAGCCCTGGCCCCCTAAAAGACCTTGAATCTAAATATAATGCCAGGCTCAATAATACTACTACTCACAACACTGCTATCTGTTCTAATAATGATATCGACCCCAATTACAGTACAGAACTCATTAGTGCTGCTGGATACAACTATGCAGCTGCCCCAAACTATGACACAGACCTTGACTATGTCCTAGGATTTACCCACACAGTGGATTCTAGCTTTGTAGTTCACCCAAACTATATTGCTAGAAACAGTTTTATGTCACCAGCCCTAGCTTTTCAACTAGTGCAGTCAATGCAACTGACATCAACACCACCACTGGTTGTAGTCATGCTATTAGTCCTAGCTATATTGCAGGTGTCAACTGTGCCTCAGACACAAACTATGTCCTTAGATTTACTCATTTCATTGTCTAACTTTGTCAATGATGGCTCTAACTTTGTCATCAACCCCAATTATATGTCATAAATACTCATAAAGCTCATAATTCCACTATTACCATCAATATTAATTTTCCAGAGCCTGAATTAAAAATCCATTCCAGTTTCTCTATTCCTAATATTGTTTATAGAAATTCCCCCAACTTTTGCTGTTGGCACTAACTATACTTCCACTCCTGATAATTTGACCATCTCTAAATTTTCTGATCCATATAAGCTTGGTAGAAATTATACAATTTTTAATGACCACAAATTTGGTGCTCACTTCAAAGTCTCTGCTGACTGCATGGACTCTGCTAGCTTTAAGCATATCACTGACTCCAAAGATGTCCTAGATGCCAAGTAGTCTAACTTTTTAACAGATTTCTCTAGGGTCCAGAATCCCATTGGTATCAAGAATCCTGCTAGTTTATAGTTAGAGCAGTCGTCGGCCAACCTCCCCAACAGCACTTGGGTTTTCCTGTTGAGAGGGGGTACTGAGAGACAGGACTAGCTGGATTTCCTAGGCAGACTAAGAATCCCTAAGCCTAGCTGGGAAGGTGACCACGTCCACCTTTAAATATGGGGCTTGCAACTTAGCTCACACCCGACCAATCAGGTAGTAAAGAGAGCTCACTACAATGCTAAGTAGGCAAAAACAGGGGTAAAGAAATAGCCAATCATCTATCGCCTGAGAGCAGAGCAGGAGGGACAATGATCGGGATATAAACCCAGGTATTCAAGCCAGCAACAGCTACCCTCTTTGGGTCTCCTCCCTTTGTACGGGAGCTCTGTTTTCACTCTATTAAATCTTGCAACTGAAAAAAAAATCCTGCTAGTTTAAACTTCCGTGACAATCCAAATATTCCACTCCCTAGTGTTGATATTATAGTAGAAGCTGAACCACCAGATGTTGTGAAGTTTGCCATACCATCAGGTGCTGTGAATCAGTTTTTAAGGTAAGTTTATATAAGTGTAGATTTTAAATTTCTTCTCATTTCCTATAATTCAGAGTATTAGGTCATTGAACAGAATCTAAAACTTCCTTTTTCACTTGGATATATAAGCTATGGAAGAGAGGTAGCAGGATATTCAGTATTACTTCTCCTTTGACCTTTAAAGCCAGCAACATGGTTTTCCATTTGAAATATCTATCTGCTGTACAGCTGGCGAGTGGCAAAATGGTCTTGGTTTCTCTGTGGCTGGCTGGTTTTCTACTCTATCAAGGGTTGCATAGTTCATAAATGTAAACTTAGCCATAATCTATTGACCTACTTCCTCTTGTCCATACATGGCCTAGTGTTAGTACTTTCCTTCTAGGTGCAGAGAGAGAATAAAGCCAAATGAGCGTTAAATACCATGGACCAAGCCATTTAAAAACAACCATGTCTCAAAAAATATCATTTTATTAAGAAGACTCTCTGAAATAGCCATGATATTTTAATCTCTCACTTAAATTCATAGAATTTGAGTTACTTTGATGACACAATAGGCAGGAGCAAAGAACTCCAAATCTTTTCTACTTTTGACTTAAAACTTTATCTTATTTCTCCTGAAAATAAGTAAAATTATATTTTTGATGAATAATACATCTTTATCAAATTTTTTCTCTAGCACTCTGAATTGCATACACAAATTAAGATTGCTAAGTTTGATAACTATTTTGACAGCAGCAAATATTCTTTTTGATGAAATATTATTAATGTGTTTTCATTGTGGCATAATTAAAATGGTATGCATTGAATTTTAGCCTTTTTATTCTTCATTAGTCAAGGTAAACAAACATATTTAATTTGGATTATAATGTTTGTGTGCATAAATGTGCGACGTGAAATACTTTGTTTTCTATTATAATATATAATTGAATGTATCTATACATTTAGATGAGACACAGATTCTTATAACCAAAATGAAAGTATAAAATTGGTATTTCCATAATATTTTTACTTTAATAGAGAACAATTTTGTGATGTTTCTAAGAGACCTCATCTCCCAAGAAAGAGTCGTGATTACCTAGTATAGTTTTACACCTTCTCCTTTTGTAAACTTAAGGGTAATGTTGGCCGCTTATAAGTAATAAATATAATATTGCCCAGATAAAATCCTTAACATTAGAAAAAAGTGACATGTTTTTCCCAGTAGTTTCTTACAAATGAAACTTTGCAGTAGTATGAAAGTATTTCTTTTCATTTTACATTTATTTTAGGTTCATGGATACATATGCTGGTTTGTTATTATATAAGTAAGCTCATGGCATGGAAGTTTGGTGTACAGATTATTTTATCACCCATGTATGAAGCATAGCACCCAACAGGTATTTCTCTCTGATCCTCTTCCTCCTCTGACCCTCCATCCCCAATTAGGCCCTAGTGTCTGTTTTTCCCCTCTTTGTGTCCATGTGTTCTCATCATTTAGCTCCAACTTGTAAGTGAGAACTTAGGGTATTTGCTTTTCTGTTCCTGCATTAGTTTTCTAAGGATAATGGTCTCCAGGTTCATCCGTATTGTTGCACAGGACATGATCTCATTCTCTTTTTATGATTGTATAGTATTACATGGTGTATATGTACTACATTTTCTTTATCCAGTCTACCATTGATGGTCATTTAGGCTGACTCCATGTCTTTGCTATTGTGAATAGTGCTGCAGTGAACATATGTGTTGATGTGTCTTTCTGGTAGAATAATTTATATTCCTTTGAGTATATACCTAGTAAGAGGATTGATGGGTCAAATGATAATTCTTTTTTTAGGTCTTTGAGTAACCACCACCTTGATTTTCACAATGGTTTAGCCATCTTACACTCCCAAGAGCAGTGTATAACCATTTCCTTTTATCTGCAACCTCACCAGCATCTGTTATTTTTTTATTTTTCAATAGTAACCACTTTGACTGGTGTAAAACGATATCTCACTGTGGATTTAATTTGCACTTCTTTAATGACTAGAGATGTTGAACATTTTTTCATGTGCTTATTGGCTACTTGTATGTCTTCTTTTGAAGAGTGTTCATGCCTTTTGCCCATTTTTTAATGAGGTTGTTTTTTGCATGTAAATTTAAGTTCCTTATAGATGCTGTATATTAGACCTTTATCAGATGTGTAGTTTGCAAATATTTTTCCCATTCTGTAGGTTGTCTGTTTATTGTGTTGGTAGTTTCTTTTGCTGTGCAAAAGCTATTTAGTTTAGTTAGACCTCATTTGTCAATTTTTGCATTTGTTGCAATTGCTCTTGGTATCTTTGTCACAAAACCTTTGTCAGTTCCTATGTCCACAATGGCATTTCCTAGGTTATCTTCCAGAGGTTTTATAATTTTAGGCTTTATATTTAAGTCTTTAATCCATCTTAAGTTGGTTTTTGCATATGGTGTAAGCAATGAGTCCAGTTTCAATCTTCTGCATGTGGCTAGTCAGTTATCTCAGCACCATTTATTGAATAAGTGGTTATTTCCCCATTGCTTGATTTTTGTCAGCTTTGTCAAAGATCAGGTGGCTGTAGATGTGTGCAGCATTGTTTCTTGGCTCTCTATTCTGTTTCCTTGGTCTATGTTTCCGTTTTTGTACCAGTATCATGTTGTTTTGGTTACCATAGCCCTGTAGTATAGTTTGAAATCAAGTAACATGATACATCCAGCTTTGTTTTTTTCACTAAGGATTGCCTTGGCTATTCAAACTTTTTGCTGGTTTCATATGAATTTAACAATAGTTTTTTTCTAGTTTTGTATAGAATGTTATTGATAGTTTGATAGAAATAGCATTGCATCTAAACCATTATAAATTGCTTTAGGCAGTATGGCCATTTTAATGATATTGATTCTTCCTATCCATAAGCATGGAATGTTTTTCCGTTTGTGTGATCTCTGATTTCTTTGAGCAGTGTTTTGTCATTTTCATTGTAAAGATCTTCTGCCTCCCTGGTTAGCTGTATTCCTAGGTTTTTTAATTTCTTTGTGGCAGTTGTGAATGGGATCGCATTTCTGATTTGACTCTCAGCTTGGATGTTGTTGGTTTACAGGAATGCTACTGATTTTTGTATGTTCATTTTGTATCCTGAAACTTTGCTGAACTTGTTTATCAGCTGAAGGAGCTTTTGGGCAGAGACTAGGGGGATTTCTAGATATAGAATCGTGTTATCTGCAAACAGGGATAATTTGACTTCCTGCCTTCCTACTTGGTTGCCTTTTATTTCTTTCTCTTGCCTGATTGCTCTGGACAGAACTTCCAATACTATGTTGAATAGGAGTAGAGAGAGAGGGCACCCTTGTCTTGTGCCAATTTTTAATGGGAATGCTTCCAGCTTTTGCTGATTCAGTATGATGTTGGCTGTAGGTTTTTCATAGATGGACCTCATTTTTTTTGAGGTATATTCCTTCAACTCTTAGATTACTGAAGGTTTTTAACATCAAGGGATGTTTAATTTTATCAAAAGCCTTTTCTGCATGTATTGTGATAATCATCTTGTTTTATTTCTGTTTATGTGGTGAATAACAGTTATTGATTTGCATATGTTGACCCAACCTTGCATCCCAGGGATAAAACCTACTTGACTGTGGTGGATTAGCTTTTTGATGTGCTGCTTGATTTGGTTTACTAGTATTTTGTTGAGGATTTTTGCATCTATTTTCATCAAGGATGTTGGCCTAAATTTTGTTGTTGTTGTGTCTTTGCCAGGTTTTGGTATCAATGATACTGGCCTCATGGAATGGGTTGTTGAGGAGGCCTTTCTCCTCTATGTTTTGGAATATTTTCAGTAGGAATGGTACCAACTCTTCTTTGTACATCTGGTAGAATTCTTCGGTGAATCTTTCTGGTGCTGGGCTTTTTTTTTTTTTGGTTGGTAGGTTATTTATTACTGATTCAATTTTGGAACTCATCCTTGGTCTGTTCAGTGATTCAGTTTCTTCTTGGTTCAGTCTTGGGGGAATATATTCATCTAGGAATTTATCAATTTCTTCTAGATTTTCCAGCTTCTCTGCGTAGAGATGTTTATACTGGTCTCTGATGGTTATTTGTATTTCTTAGAGATGAGTGATAATGTTCCCTTCATCATTTCTAATTGTGTTTATTTGGTTCTCCTTTTCTTCTTTATTAAGTCTAGCTAGCAGTTTATCTATTTTAATTATTCCAAAGAACCAATTCCTGGATCCATTTATCTGTTATATGTTTTTTGTGTCTCAGTCTTCTTCAGTTCAACTCTGGTTTTTATTGTTTCTTGTCTTCTGCTGACTTTGGGATTGGTTTGCTCCTGCTTCATTAGTTCTTCTGGTCATGATGTTAAGTTGTTAATTTGAGATCATTACTTTCTGATGTGGGCGCTTAGTGCTTCATGTTTCCCTCTTAACACTGCCTTAGCTGTGTCCCAGAAATTCTGACATGTTTTCTTTTGTTCTCATTAGTTTCAAATAAATTCTTGACTTTTGTCTTAATTTCATCATTTACCCAAAAGTCATTCAGGAGCAGGTTGTTTAATTTCCATGTGATTTTATGGCTTTGAGGAATTTTCTTTATATTGAAATATATTTTTATTGCACTTTGTTCCAGCAGTGTTGTTATCATTTCAGGTTTTTAAAAAATTTATTGAAGATTGTTTTACAACTGATTATGTGGTCAATTTTAGAGTATGTGCCATGTGGTGAGGAGAAGATTGCATATTCTGTTGTTAATGAATGGAAAGTTCTGTAGATATCTATTAGATTCATTTAGTCAAGTGTTAAGTTCAGGTCCTGAGTATCTTTGTTACTTTTCTGCCTTGATGATCTGTCTAATACTGTCGGTGGGGTGTTGAAGTCTTACACTATTGTTGTGTGGGAATCTAAGTCTTTTGTAGGTCTCTAACAACTTGCTTTATGAATCTGGGTGCTCCTGTGTTGAGTACATAAAAGCAACTAAAATATGTTTTATTTTATTGCGTTGATGTTTCCGGCTGAATGAAAATATAAACGTGATAAATTTTAGATAACTAGTTTTAAATAATGAAGCTTTCATTTTGTATTTCAAATCATAACATGTAAGAACTATGTTTCCTATGTGTGTGTAAAATGTTATGTTGATTTTAGATGAAAATGACCTGCAAAGTAAACTGCTTTCACCAGAAAAACAATCAAATTTTTAAAATAGAAGGTATTGATTCCCCCAAAATAGAATAATAAAAATTAATTTTGAATAGAATATCTAGTCAAATAAATGCTATGCCCTGGGTACATACAACTTTTGACCTTGACTAGGTAACAGAAATATCTGCAACCACTTTCATGATTTTTATTGGAGATTGACAGAACTTCACAATACATTATGAATAACTTAGAAACAATGCTCTACATATGCCTTCACTAGCAAAGCATTTTCTGGATGAATGGACAATTGCTTTCCCATAGAGCTTTGGTATTTCCATATTTTCCTACTTTCTTATATCCATGTCCATATGTCAATCACAAGCAACTATAATTGAGAGAACAGGGGTGCTTTCACACTTAAATAATTTTAAAAGTTAGAAAATCTCACTTTAAAATAAATAAATTTTTTTTCCAACCATAAGTGAACCAAAACAATCAACTTAATGTCAGAATATATTCATTTTAAAGTGGTCTACCCAGTGTGTAATTTCCTTTCTCCTCATACAGCCATGGGAATAGATGAATAAGTTTAGTTATTTTAATATTAATCGAAATAAATCTTAGTAATGCTCAACCTTTAGGTGGGTTAAATATAGCACCCACATACTCCAGATAATCAAAGCAACGTCCAGCCAAATAGCTTCTTAATTAAATATATTTACATACAGATAAACAATTTTTCCATTCCTAGCTTTTTAGGAGTATGCTGCATTTTCTTAAGTGGAAAATATGGTTTCTAAGAATTTTTAATCTAAGATACTGCAACACCGTCTTCTACCCAAAGATACAGAGTACTTGCCAAAGGTTTGTTAATTATTAAACTACTTTACTAGGGCTATCTGTGAACCAGACCTTTCCATAAAGTCACTCTTTTATATATCGGTTTGATCATATTTCTTCATAATACTAGAGTGCTTCCATTGTCTTCCATTGCTGAATTCATTGTCAGATAAAATAGGGTCCTGAAAGTGTTAAACTGAAATACAGTAAATTAAGTTGGAATCTCCTTTTAGGGTAAATTAGTCAAATATCTCAAATTGAATGTAATTAATAAATACATATTGAGCAATTCAAAAATTTCCCACTGCTAACAATGTGACCTGTCAATTGTTCTCTGCATAATTAGGGAGAAAACAATTGTTAATCTGATAAAAGTCTGATGTCTTTAATGGAATCTAGACTTCTTCCTGCATCTACACTATATGTAGTTTTCTGAGCAAACCTACAAAGACAGTCGAAATGAGAACCAATTGTTCCAAGCTCAAAGTAAAGACCATCTTTGTTACATCCCCTACTGTAAAAAATATGTGGCAGTGACTTTCTCTCCGCAGGAATTTCAGAATCATATATCTTCCCTGATGGCTCAAGATTCCTTGGCCCAGCCCTTTCAAATACAGCAACAGGATTAGTGATGCATCATATTCAGGCAGGAAGAGAAAACCAGACCAAACCAAATTGAGTCCAAAAATTGTTAAAGACTAAATTAGGAGAATTTTAATATTATCTGTCATCATAAATCTCAAATAATTGACTAAAGAAGCTGTTTATTCCCCCAAAGGGAATTTACTTAAAATTTTAAATTTCAGAAATATTTGCTGCAGTGACACTAGTATGGATATGGTGCATTCAACAGATGCAGGATCTGTGTAATCTGTCATGTTTTTCAGGTTTGAAAGAAACTGAGGTTGCTGTGTTGGAATGTATTGCATTTTCTACACTTAAAGGGACAAGTAGTGCTCTACATTTTTCAAAGTTTTAAATTCTGTGTCTGAAAGTATTGGGTGTCAAATATAATAAGTGTAAAATTATTAAGCAAGCATGTATGAAGTTTCTGTTTTGGCCTCTCATAAGTCATGTCAGCCAATCCCCTTCTAAAGATACCCAGATTTATTAAGTGAACTGTTTATTGGATGAAGATTGTTGATCCAGTGTGTTAGAGTTCCTCAATTAAATAAAGAATGGGTATAAGATTGTAACAGTACAAAGGCAGTATATTGGAGGCAAAGTCAAAGGAAATAATGTTATATGGCGAATGAGGGAAACTGTGGAATAATAAACATAATTGCTGCAATCTTTATTTTTACTATATTATCAAATCTCAATATGTTCTGGCTAGTCTACGTCCATTTGTAGTAGAATTGTTTTTCATCTACATTATACTTAGCATATCCTTACCTGCCTCATCTCATCACACAAGCATGGATCCATGCACCTATGTGCACAATTGCGGACTTGGACTTTCGTAAGTTGCAAATACCAAAAATATAAGCACTCTATGTTAACAAACCCTCATTTATTCACTAAATGCTCATCTCTTTCCCATTCTGAGGTCACTCTGTGTCCCTAATATTCTTGCATCATTCAGAAAGTAACCAAGCTGTTCTGAGCCAACTGACCTCCCTCATTGCTGACTCTGAAACAGCCTCCTGGTATATCCCTACCACCTCCTTTTTACCCTCTAACAGAAAGCCTATAAAAACACACACATGCACGCACACACCCCACAGAGATAATGTCCTCTGCTTTGGGTTTACATTGGAGACTATAGCCAACTGGACTTTTACAGTGATTTTAATAAGAAAATAATTTTTAATACAAATAACTGAATTATAAATGAATTTCTGTTGTGCAGCTCTTTTATAAGTTGAGAACAATCCTTATTTGTTCACACTTGTTATCTTGACTTGTCATACCTCCAGACAGGTAGCAGACAAAGCCTTGGCCCTGATTAATGAAAAGAATACCTTGAGATGAAAAAGACAAAGGCACAACCAAGAAGGTTTTGAGGATATGAGCAAATAATTTTGAAAAGTTGCAGAGATCCCTGAGAAATATTTATTGTATATACATTCACACGTTCCCTTCCCTTTACATGGCCAGGTCTTTATTGTCTATTGGGGCCATCAATGTTCCTCCAAACTACCATGTAGTAATTGCCCCATCCATCTTATTTGTTTCTAGCAGACTCTGGAATTGGGAAAAGGATACACTGTTAAACCTTGCTAACCTAAAATAATTACTAACATATAATATGTCCTTATCAAGAAACTTTAAAGATGAGTGGCCCTTTCTTTAATAGTCATTATTCTGCTTATTATTACTTAATATTTGTTGAAGGAAGTCACACAACAGTAGTATTCACACCTTAAAGTTGCCCAACACGTTTAAAATGAATACAATAAGTGCTGCATATGTAAAACTTTATGCCTTCCTTAGCGTTGTCAATAAAACTCCTTAAAACTGAAGTAATTACAGCTTTCACAAGACTGTATAAATTATCATATTCTGCAACTACAATATGTTGAATATCCATTGATGATTTGGTTATTAGGTTATCTTTTAAAATAAAGATTTGATTTCAATGTTACATAGCCTTTCAACTGTCTCTATGCCTCTATAATCTCTCTTCACTTCAATTCATCCTCCTGGAATAATATTCACCCAATACTCTTTCATTACATATTCCTCAGATACTGACTTTTACTATTTGATCAGGTCCAATCTCCTCACCCTGATGGTCAAAGAAAATTTGGCTATGACCTAACAACATTATTTTATTAGACATTATTCTCTTATGAATTCCTCTGTTGTCTGATCTGCTACCTCCCAGTTCCATGCCTACAATGTTCATCAACTTCCCTGTGCCTTTCCTAAGACTGCCTGTCCTGTGAAAATAAAAAAAGCATGCTGCCTCGTCACATCTTAACCAAAGGCCTATAGGCCATAGATTAGAGGCATTGTAAAACTCCTTTGAGTTTATTGATTTTAGCCCCTTTATTGTAGTGAGACCCAGAGAAATTGATTTACTTGTTAAAATTCCTGCATTTAATATGCTTTAGAATCTGGTGCATGGACAAGAGGCCAAGTTGCCTGATGCTCAGTCTAGTGCTCTTTCACTGTATTTCATTTTGCTTTCTTAAAGCTCACACTACATATCGTCTCTTTATCTAGCCTATACTGATCTCTTTTGTAAATTCTCATTGTACTTATAATTACCATACCATATTGCACTTATAAATATCATAGAGTTTAGCACTTGTGTGGCACTAACATATTTTGAGGTCCTACTATATGCAAGGCACTGTGGTTGCCACCTCACGTACATTTGCTCATTAGTTACAGGAACCCAAGGAGGTAGGCTTTGTATCCCTTTTTTGCTGAAGATCTAAGGCTGAGAGAAACAAATTTTCCCAAATAAGTGATAGAACTTGGAATTAAATACATATCTTTTTGTTTCAAAGTATATGATGTAATTTTCTTCAAGAGTTTCAAGATGTTCATCTTGCCTCTCTTCAAATAGACTGTAAGTATTAGGTTCCTATCTATATAGAGAAGACCATGGATTAATGCCCCTTTAAGTTATGGTAGAGCTAATAGGTCTGATTACTGGAGGGGATGTATCAGAGGCAAAAGAGAAATGGGCCAGGCTCAGGGGCTTGCGCCTGCAATCCCAGCACTTTGGGAGGCCAAGATGGGCGGATCACGAGGTCAGGAGATTGAGACCATCCTGACCAACATGATGAAACCCTGTCTCTACTAAAATACAAAAAATTAGCGTGTGGTGGTGCACGACTGTAGTTCCAGCTACACAGGAGGCTGAGGCAGGGGAATCACTTGAACCTGGTAGGCGGAGGTTGCAGTGAGCTGAGATCGCACCACTGCACTCCAGCCTGGACAACAGAGCAAGACTCCGTCTCAAAATAAATAAATAAATAAAATAAATAAAAAGAGAGATAAATCACATCTTTCATAATATATCACTTCTGCTTAGTTAATTTGAGTTATATCAGTCTTTGTTTAGAGTTCTTCAAGGCAAACTGCTATGTCAATGTGTTTGAATAATGTATCACCAAACATTAAGTGAAAAATACCAAAAGGACTATTAGAGCCATGGGACATAGTTTTTTCTTGGATATTGAGAACTTTCCTGATTTATTTCAAAAAAAATATTTCAGGAAGACCAAGGGAAAAAAAAAACTCTTAAAACTTATTTTGCACAATGGACTGGATTTTTTTAAAAATCTGTATATTCTTTATGTGCTTTGCTACTAAAAACTTCAAACATTGCTTTGTAGAAATTTGCAATTAAAACAGATTCATTAAAAGGAAAGTTATTTTTAGGTAATTTATGACTACGCAGAAAATGCTCAGAAATCAATGAAGGTTAATTACACCATAGTAGTTGTTTTTGTTCTATGTAAAAATGTAATTTGTCACCTTTTTTTCCCCCTGAGGCAGAGTCTCACTGTCGCCAAGGCTGGAGTGCAGTTGCACCATCTCTGCTCACTGCTACCTCTGCCTCCTGGGTTCAAGCTATTCTCGTGCCTCAGCCTCCCGACTAGCTAGGACTACAGGTGTGAACCAACGTACCCGGCTAATTTGTGTATTTTTAGTAGAGAAGAGGTTTTGCTGTTTTGGCCAGGCTGGTCTTGAACTCCTGGCCTCAAGAGATCCGCCCACTCCAGCCTCCCAAAGTTCTGGGATTACAGGCGTGAGCTGTTGCCCTGGCTAATTTGTTACTTTCTTCTTGAGGTTTTTCTTCTTTAACTTAACATAAAGGAACAAAATGGCAGAGTTCTGGAAGTCAAAGAAATAGAATTTCTGTTATGAGCATTTTCTCTGAGCTATATTACTTTCTGGAACCCATCATTGCTATACAAATGTTCTGGTTTTATGTTATTTACAATTATTGTATCTTTAGCTTTGAACATATTTTTCTTTTTTGTTCCTTATTTCTATGAGGAATGAAGCTACTATTACCTATGATGATTTTAAAATATCATTGTGAGGATCAAATATTGTGATAATGCTTCATGGAACTGCCAAACCCATATAAAAACAAGAAATTCTTAACATTGTGCTATTTATTTTTCCTTCTTCATCTGGGGTATATTAAAGATCAAGGCTTATTGGAGATGAATTTGTGACATCACCACCTAGGTATCATGCAGGAATCTAAATGAAAGTAACTAAATGAAATAAAAAGAATGTGAATTCTGTATGTTGGACTGTTTAAACATAAAAACATAGCTACTTCAAATCTGACATGCTTCCCTAAGTTTTAACTTGATGCTTATTGAGGTTATATTTTCTGTCCTTATACAAGAAAATAAAATAATTTCTTCAGACAGCATAATATACATTACATATGTTTTAACCTAGGTGAAAATATTAAGTTGTTCTTTTAAATAACGTGTTGAAAAACCACTGTTGCTCATTCTGGGAACCCTTTTTTTTTTTTTTTTTATTATACTCTAAGTTTTAGGGTACATGTGCACATTGTGCAGGTTAGTTACATATGTATACATGTGCCATGCTGGTGCGCTGCACCACTAACGTGTCATCTAGCATTAGGTATATCTCCCAATGCTATCCCTCCCCCCTCCCCCGACTCTGGGAACCTTTTTATAAATCTGAGGCTCAAGGAATTCCATTGCTGTTATTAAAAAAAAAAAAAAAAGCCAAAACTTATTTTCTGGGTAGTATCAGTAAACACTCATTTTCTGTATTAAAATAAATAGATAAATGAATAATTTCTGAGCTTGAGTAATTTAACCTTTCTGGGCCTCACTTTCTATATCTGTAAAATTAAGGTTTTCTAAATTCTTGTTCAACTCTAATAGTTCATGATTTTGTAAATCTATGGTCCATCAAAATATGACTCTATCAAGGAGCCCTAAAGTGTGTAGGAAAAGTAAGGCAGTATATCTCTTATGCAAATAGAAAACCTGAGACATTTTGATTTTGTTAAAGAATTTTGTGCGAACTTGTGGTGGGGTCAATGGGACGTAAGACCTTTCAGAAAAATCATCCATATGGAAAAAAAGAACTAAAAACTAGTGGAAAAACTGTGAGGTTAACAGCAGTTGAGAGAAATTCCTTCAATGTGAAAGGTAAAATTTGCAGAGATAGAGCAGGCTGGTGGGGAGAGGGGAGCAATTAAAATCAGTATGATCCTAGTGCCAAATTAGTACTGATCTAAATATAAACTTTGATCAAAGCTGAACTACCTTTTACTTGTGTTCATTGCCTGCTATTTTTCAATAAGGGGACACTATATTCACTTTGTGCCTAATGGAGCTATTAGGATTTTCATAAAACCCTTTACTAAGAAGGGGGTATATACAATAACAAAAGTCAAATATAAACAAGAAATGAGGGAGTGTGTATGGATAATTATATATTGTTTACCAAAATGACATGAATAAAAAGACCAACAGGCAAGCCCCTTTACCCTTTTGTAGAATTCACCAGCCCGTGAGTACAAATGTAGCTTGATACAAGAAATAAGACCTAGTGTTTGATAGATCAGTAGAGTGACTATAGTTTATAATAATCTATTGTGTGTTTCAAAATACCTAAAAGAGAAGAATTTGGATGTTTTGAGCATAAATAAAATATAACTATTTAAGGTAATGGATATCCCAGTTACACTAATTTGATCTTTACATATTATATGAATGTATTAAATTATCACATGTACCCCTAGCATATGTACATCTATTATGTATCAATCAAATTTTTAAAAATTAAAAGAAAAATATAGAATTAAGCAACCCAAACGTCCAGAGGTTAAGTCCTGTAAGAATTCTAGCAAAACTTTTGGTTTAGATATGAACTACCCCAAGCCTCTGGAACATTTCATTTAGACTTAGTTAAAAATGGATCATGCTAAACTGTATACACTCTCACACACACACAGAAACACATGAAAATGTGAATTTTAGCAATTATTACCAAGAAAAAATGAATTTTTGTGTGGAGACCCTGGCTGTGAATGTATAAATCAATGGCCCTTGATACCATCACCAAAAGAAATACCAATATTCTACTTGAATATTTTCGGTCAGCAGAAAACACCTTGTTCCTTATTTTTACTACAGCTTTATCAGCGCAAGTTTCTTCAACATCTTCAGAATAATTCATCTACTAAAGATGTACTATCTTTTCTTTCTCCCAAATTCCTTTCAATATCATATTGATTTCTTTTCAACACTTTGGCTTTTTTTTAGGAAGAAACTTAATCTGAGAGATCAACTTTGTTTTTTCCCAAGAACCATAGACCAAACTTGAATATTCAAGATGCAAAGCATAAAAATTATTTTGTTCTTAGTCAGTTAACTAGTAAACAAGTAAACAGTAGCATAAATACTGGTGAAAAGTATTAAATCATTTAGATTTTAGCATCAATCCATAGCATTTAACTGAGTGCCTAGAGTGCCTTCTTGGTGTTCAGTTTTGTGTCAAGGAGGCAGCATTATGTAATGATTAAGAGCATTGGCTCTGAAAACAGATTGAGTTCAAAATCTGACTCTACTTCATATTATTTGTATGACCTTATACAAATCACTTTTTATCTGTGTGACTTAGTTTTTCTGATCTGTATGGAAGAAATGTGATCATATATGTAAGGCAGTTAGAACAGTGGCTGGCACTGTTAGCTCCCAATAAGTTATTAGGTATCCTTCTACTTAGGGTGAAAATGGAGATTAAACCATGGTCCATACCCAAATAAACTTAGTCTACCTAAGAAGACATGACATACATAAATGATACAAGGCCAGAGAATATATATTAACTATATATATATATATATACTATTAACAGAAACATTATTAAAGCCATTGGGAGTCAAGAATATAGAAGATAAATGTGGACTGGACTTTTATCTAAACCTCATGGAGAAAATGAATAACAGTCTGAATATCTAGAGAGGAATGGGGAAATAGCATAGATTGCATAGTGGCAGGAATTAACATAGCTTGTATTAAAGAAGCTTGATTGCCTAAAAAGGGAAGATACTGGTGAAGTTACCAACAACAAAAGCAGACATAAAGATGGGATCAAATTATGGAGAATTTTAAATGCCAGTCTAAAGAATTAATATTATTGTACCTTTTTTCTTGAAGCATAGTTATACTCTGTGTTGTCGCTATTTGTGCATATGGTTTATCTGCCTTACTTGAGTATAAGCTCCTAGATAGAAGGAACCATACTAATTTCATTTCTTGATTCCCGTGTATCCCTCTGACTGTGCTCCACCACATACACACACACACAAACACAAACTCACCATAGTGCCTAGCACTGTGTCATGTAGTAGGTGTTGAATATGCACTGAATGTGTAAAAGAATGAGTTAGTTGACATACAAGTGATCCGTTGATCAATATGGAGTCACTGAGTTATTTAATTAAGGCTATGGATTCAGGTAAGTACTATTTCAGAAATATTTACCTCATGTTATTTTACAGGCTTGGTAGGAGAGGGTGATTCTAAAGGTAGGCAAACTAGGAGGTGGCAGGTTGTCAGTATATACTTGGCAATTAAAACTATACCTAGAATTGCATCAGCAAATGTGCAGTTATGAAAAACAGCAATGTATTTATTCATTTATTTGGCCTTTTATTGAGACAAGGAGAGGATAGTTTGTGTAGTATAGGATTTAGAACACTGATAAGTTAAGTGGGAATCACCCAGTGCTCCCTGAGAGGCTTTTGAAAATACTATGGTAAAGATAAATGCATAAAGAAGTGCCTTTCATTTAAAACATCGCCTTTGACTAGGATGGTTGCCAGAAATGTGTATGTGTTTGTGTTTTTTCTCATATGATAGTAGCATGAAGCTGACTTCCCTTTTACCGCTAGGCTTGAAAAGTTTCAAAAGTCTTTTTTTTTTTTTAAATCCTCACCCAAGAAACCATGAAGTTCAAGTCTTTTCCAAAATTGGTTAAATGTATTATTTAATTCTTTATCTCAATTCACAGATAAAGATACATATAACAACTATGTGTTACCCTCTCTTGCATCGCAGCTTTCAAAGAGTTTCCTATGGTCTCCTTACTACCAAGGAGGTTGTCAGGGAAAAAGAAAAACAAAGAAAGAACATTCTGGCACTCCTCAAAACAGACAGATGTTGGCTCTAAAAGCTCCTCAGATATCACTCTCTGGATTATTTACAGACACACACCCGCCATGACCCTCCAACATGGTAGCCTAACTGGCAGCTGAGCTGCAGGAAGCACCACTCAAATCATACCCACTGACTCTCAAAGAGGAATTTCTCTGTACAGGTCACCAGAAATTCATAGAACACTAAGCTGTGACCATACAGATCCTTGAAGTCTAATAATAGGTCATGAGTGTTGCATGAACATGGTCCTTGTCCTTTAGGGAAAACAGCCAAAATTGTAATGGAAAAATATTGATCAGTTCATAAGTAGATATAACTATACTGACAAACGCATTTTGGGGATGTGAAATAACAAGAGACAATCCATGTATAGATAATGTAAGTCTATAGAGTTTGGTAAGCTCTCATTTGATGATTTCCTGAAAATCCTCATGAAAGCTATAGATGTGAAATCATCAGGGCTGCTCAAACACCTATGTCACTGCTATCCTCAGGGGTAGGACTCAATAACATCTGTGTCATCAAATGATTAAAGAAGGTTTGCATTGCTTTATTGAAATTATTTTTAGCCGATCACGATGGCCCACGCCTGTAATCCCAACCCTGTAAGAGGCCCAGCTAGATCACTTAAGGCCAGGAGTTTGAGATCAGCCTGGCCAACATGGCGAAACTCCATCTCTACTAAAAACACAAAAATTAGCCAGGCATGGTGGCACATGCCTGTAGTCCTAGCTACTCCCTGAGGCAGGAGAATCGTTTGAGCCAGGAGGCAGTGGTTGCAGTGAGCTGAGATCGTGCCACTGCACTTCAGCCTGGGTGACAGAGACTCCATCTCAAAAAATAAAAAAAAGTACTTTGGCAAGTTAGCAAAAAAGAACTATGTTTAGCAAGCAAGTCTTTTCATGCTTTTCAAATAATACCCTGTGATAAGATGCCCTATTCTGCCTTCATATGAAGCAAACCAAAACTAAAATATGTATCTTAAAGGATAGTTAATTGTGCCTGAAAACTACTGCTTTGAGTGGCTATTGCCGGGAGAATAAAATTGCCAGAGAGCTCTTATCTTTAGGTCATGTATCTTTTTTTTTTTTTTTTTTTTTTATACTTTTGAGTTCTAGGTTACATGTGCACAACGTGCAGGTTTGTTACATATGTATACATGTGCCATGTTGGTGTGCTGCACCCATTAACTCGTCATTTACATTAGGTATATCTCCTAATGTTTTCCCTCCTCCCTCCCCCCACCCCACAACAGGCCCCGGTGTGTGATGTTCCCCTTCCTGTGTCCAAGTGTCCTCATTGTTCAATTCCCACCTATGAGTGAGAACATGCAGAGTTTGGTTTTTTGTTCTTGTGATAGTTTGCTGAGAATGATGGTTTCCAGCTTCATCCATGTCCCTACAAAGGAAATGAACTCATCCTTTTTTATGGCTGTATAGTATTCCATGGTGTATATGTGCCACATTTTCTTAATCCAGTCTGTCATTGAAGTGGGGGAAGGATATGAATAATAGGTCATGTATCTTAAATGAAGTTCAAAGAAGACACTGAAGATCCTGTAATATTTGCTGTACCAAGAGCTTTGAAATTATTTAAGATTTGCAGAAAGAGGAGTGTGATACCAAGAGGAGTGAGGCAAACAGTGTTTATAGGAAAGAAACTAATATTGGTAAACATGATGGATGGAACAAATCTCAAGCTACCAAAGTTAACATGGAGGCTGCTGGACTCTAGTACCTAGGATGAGCTGATGAGAACCAAGATTATAATGACAATGGATTAAGTTCCTTGGTGCATGTGCCATGACAAAAGCCTTCAGTAGAGTGGGTTAACCTAAACCTGCACTTGGAGGGAATGGGTTTGTATGTTCAGTAAAACTCTAAACACCACTTGACTTGTGACACTTGTTTACACTTGTTTCATGATTGACTATGTATTATTACACATGGCTCACTTATCTTTGAAATCAGAAGCAATGTCATGGGTGAAATATTCCTTATCAGCCAACCAGAAGTTATTGAATAGGCATCATCTTATCCCCTGGAAATAGAAAGGAGAATATTACATTATAATTTTGGAAAGAATCTTGGAAAACTCCTCAGAAAAGTTAAACTATTTTCTCATTTTCTTTGAAATCATTTCTTTCTCATTCCTGCTATTGAAACAGGAAAATTTCCCTTGTTCCCCTCACAGGGTGTACAATGGGAGTGTGGCTCACTTCTTCAGTGCCCTGCTGCTCAAACCTCCAGGGGAGCATACGGACTGGCAGGCTGTGGGGCTCCAATCCCACGGCAGTGTCTAAGGGTGAATATTTACAGCTCCTGAAGCCCCAGTGGGCGTGTGTTACAGGGTGTTCTTTTAGTTTGCCGCCTATAGGTAGCTTGTGTTAGCTCAATTAGACCCCTTTCCTTATCACAAGGACAGAGGGATTTCTGTAACCTGGGGTTTCTTGCCTTGATGTACCCAAAGAATTGGATCACACGTGATCTTAGAGAATGAGTGCAAGGTTTTATTGAGTAGAAATAACTCTCTTCTGGGGGAGCCAGAAGGGAGATGGTCTTCCCCTGGACTCTGGCAGCTCAGGCGGCCCAGGCTCTCCTCCGACTGCGTCAGTTCTGCCAGTCGATGGCTTGTTGGTGTGCTCTTCTGTCAGCGTGCTCCTCTCGATGACAAGTGTCTTGTGTCTCCTTCTGCTGTTGTGCTCCTCTCGACGTCTGGCTGCCTGTGTGTCTGCCTGCTAGGATCTCGGGTTTTGGACTTTTTTTTTTTTTTTTGAGTTGGATTCTCACACTGTGGCCTGGGCTGAAGTGCAATGGCATGATCTCGGCTCACTGCAACCTTTTTCTCCCAGGTTCAAGTGATTCTCCTACCTCAGCCTCCCAAGTAGCTGAGATTACAGGCATCCGCCACCACGCCCAGCTAATTTTTCATATTTTTAGTAGAGACAAGGTTTCACTATGTTGGCCGGGCTGGTCTCAAACTCTTGAACTCATGATCCACCTGCCTCGGACTCCCAAAGTACTGGGGTTACAGGCATAAGCCATCACACCCAGCCGGGTCTCAGGTTTTTATAGGCCCAGGATGGGGGCATGGCGGGGCCAAGGTGGTCTTGGAAAATGTAACATTTGAGTGAGAAAGCAGGAGTGCCTGGCCTCACCTTGGTCTGGCTCTAGCCAGGGACCCACCTTTCTCTATCCAGCACTTCCCTTCCCCACTTCCATATCATTTAAAAGGACCATGCTCTTCTCTTCCCAGCACTCCCGTATCACTATGGGCTAAATGCTAATATCAAAGTTGACCCTCCAATTAATATATAGTAAAAATCTTCAAAGCACACTTTTCAGGATGTTCTCCTCTTTCTTGAACCCAGGTTTACATGCTGGTAAGTAAATATCATGTAAAGAAAAAATAATTAGGGTCTAAAGGGAGAATATGGCCGTGTCAAAATAGCAGAATTTAATTTACTTACATACACCCACACAAACACACATAGTCCTATCTGATCAAAATGCTAGTTTTAAACTAATGTAGTATGGAAGTTTAAAATTACATGACAAATTTTCCATATGTTAAAAGAATTCTCTACATTTTAGAATGCTTTAACATTTCGAAATTTCTTCTCTCTTCATAAAATTTGTAAATCCCCATGACAAGAAAAGAATGAAGCTTTTACTATACCCATTTTATAGATTCCATAACATACCAAGAGATAAGTGCCTCTTGCCAGTTAGTAAGACATGGAACAGTTTCTAAACTCAAGTCTCTCTTTCCCAATCTACTTCTCTGTCTCTTATACTTTGCTGCTACATCAATCAATAAATAAACAGGTCTTATTTGTGCACTCACAGCAGCTTTGTCTTGAAGTCTGAGGTTAAAAGGATGTTGAGTCGTCTGCCTGTTTTGTGAATGTTCTCCAATATACCAACTGATACACTCACAGGTTTCTTCTCAAAAGGTAGCAAAGACCACCAGGTGGGAGTGACTCATCTTGTCTCTTGCCCTTTTTCCCATGCACTTGGTCATGCATTGTACTATTCCAGTTTCAAATTGCTATAAAGAACTGCCTGAGACTGGGTAATTTATAAAGACCTCACAGTTCCATATGACTGAGAGGCTTCAGGAAACTTACAATCATGGCTGAAGGTGAGGGGGAAGCAAGGACCTTCTTCATGTGGTGGCAAGAGAGAGAAGTGCTAGCAAGAGCAGGGAAAGCTGCCTTATTAAACCATCAGATCTTGTGAGCACTTACTCACTATCACAAGAATAGCATGGGAGAAATTGCCCCCGTGATCCTATCACCTCTCACTGAGTTCCTCCCTTGACAAATGGGGATTATGGTGATTACGATTCCAGATGAGATTTGGGTAGGGACAGAGCCAAACCATATTATGCATCAACTTTTATTCCTTTTTTGGTTCATTGTCTATAGCTAATTGTAATTATTACAAGAGGTTTTGAAATGAAAACGCTTCGTTAATTATCATGGAGTGCAAAATAGTTAACTTGACTGAATGTACTTCTCAGTTTTTGGTGTTTGACTTTAATACCCTCAAAATAAATAGGCAGATAAAAATAAAAATCAGCTACCATTTTATTGTGAATGAATTATGACAGTTAAATAGATGGAGCAATAGTGTAATTTCACTCAACAATTCATGTTCAGGATTTCTGGACACCTACACTAAATATTTTGTCTCATCTTCGAGAGATTTTAGTTTCTAGCATGCCGAAAGGGGTCTTGTTTAAGGTCTTCTACAAAGAACATAAAGGAAAAATATATAGTGAGGTTCTGATAGAATGAAACTATACTTTTTGTTTAGGTCTTTATTGGCTTATTAATAATATAATAAGGGATTTTAAAACACTTTACAGTTTATAAGGCATTTGTACACCAAATGTTTGATTTAATCCTCACAATTATTTGGAAAGTGGATAACATTTATTCACTTTAACAGCTAAGGGCATTGAAGCTCAGAGGAATCGAATGTCTTAACCAAATTGAGAAAGCTGTTAAGTACCAGATCTTCTGATTGCACATAAAGAGCACTCTACTCTAGATGAGGACTGTTTTTCAGGATACCTTGATGTCTGTACCCCCGAATGAGCTTCTACATCTTATGTGAAATTTACAGGTCAACAGTCTGTTTCTAACATTGCTTTAAGCCAGTGGTTCTTAAACTATAATGTGCATAACAATTCCTGATAACTTTTTTAAACTGTATATTCTTGGCTCCCACTCCCACTTCCCAAATGTTTTGACCCAGTAAGTCCGTATTTGGACAAAGATTATGCATGTTAACAAGCACCAGATGATTCTGATGTAGGTGGCCCACAGTTTGAGAAGCACTAATAACAGAGAATATCATTGGTGAAACCCTTGGTCTGATTTTGGTATTTTTCCTCCTGCTCTGTTCCAATAACAACAGCAAAAAACACCATGCCTTCAAAATAATGAAAACAAAGCAGATTCTTAATTTAGTTTTGATTTGCTGGGTTTTCTTCCCTCGGAATATTTCATTTTTTTACTGCTCAATATCTGAGCTTAATAGGATAATTTGAGAACATGAAGTTCCTCACTATCTGTAAACCAGAAAGTAATTTTGTTTATGAGGTTTTCCATTTTAGTTCAACCCAAAAGTCTATGGAAAATACCTCATTAAGAGACATTAGGCACAGGATAGATTTTCTAAATCTATTATTACAAATATAAATTTACAAATATGTATATAAATTTACTAAGAATTTAGCATAGGAAATAAAAGTTTCTCTGCCAGTTATGCACTCTAAAATATCTGAAGCAGTGGCATTCAGAGGATGTCTGTCATAATTTTATTATACATATAAAATTGTTCATCTATGAATCATTTGAATATGTTGATTGCTGACAGAATTTGAAAATATAGTATTTACCTATTTAAAGATATTGCCTTAAGTTTTATATAGAATGGCCTCCTATTATTCAAGCTGTCCTGTTTTCTCATAGAAAAAAAATTTAAAGGCAGTGCTCATGAACATAATTTAATGGTAAGTGTTTTAACACAAACTTTCTCTCAAGTGATCTAAAAACATGTAAGTAGCTGGCGTGAATAGGAAAATAAAAGGATGTTTATCGGAGGAGAATAGTAATATAGCCACATGGTGATTTTAAAAGTACAAGATAAGATATGTTTGCTTGAAATGTCAGGGTAATCAGTAGAACAATAAAAATCATCTGTATACTTTCCAAACTATGATGGGGGAAAAAGAACACATAAAACCTGCTCAAACCCAAGAATATGAAAGAAATAAAAGAAATGAAAGCACTGCAAACAAGCCAGCAAACAAACAAAAAATACAAGAAAATAAAATAGCAGGAAAAGCCCAAACATATCAATAATACATGTAAATGGGTTTTATTCTTTTATTAGAAGAAGAAGCTCTGTTCAGTGCAATGTTTCCACATTTTATTTTGTTGTTAATTCATCAAGTCCTTACTTGAACACCATTCCATTTAATGCCTTCACCTTTGAGTTTAAAAAATATTAGATAAGATGGTACTTCAACTCTGTGGGAATCAGATTTTTCAAAATCAGGATGAGCAGGAGAATTTCTAAAGTTCTTTCTAGGTTTCACAAATAAGAATTCAAAAGCCAAATAATAGAAGAGAAGTTCATATTTTAGATAGGGTAGTCAGAGAAGGTCTGACTACCACTATATACATGGTGACATTTAAGCAGTGGCCTGAAAAAAGGGATGGAGCAAATAATGGACATATCTGAGAAAATAACGTTCCTGACAGGACTATAATAGTGGGAATTTATGATGAATTTCCAAAAGTTTAGTCCTTCCTATTAGTAACTGTCTACACATTTTGTTTTAAACTTACTGCCCAGATTGTATCCACTCTATACTTTGAAATGTCGCCTTCACAAAAATCCATAAATGAAAGCAAATATCATTGTTTCAACATTATTGTACTCTAATTACTTCAAAATAATTATGAGAAATTATTTTGAATTAGTGAAAAGCCCAAATTTCCTATTTTGATTAATAAGTATATCTTAATTAGATTTGTTGAATCGCAGCAAGTTAGTGCTAAAAAGATAATTCACAATTGCAAAAATATAGAAGCAACCTAAATGAGTGGAGAAAGAAAATGTAGTATATATACACCATGGAATACTAGACAGCCATAAAAAGGAATGAAATAATGGCCTTTGCAGCATTTTGGTTGAGCTGGAGGCCACTATTCTAAGTGAAGTAACTCAGGAGTGAAAAATCAAATATCGTGTGTTCTCACTTATAAGTGGGAGCCAAGCAATGTGGGTGCAAAGGCATAAGAATGATATAATGGACTTTGGGGACTTGGGGGGAAGTAGGAGGTGAGGAATAAAAAGACTACATATTGAGTACAGTGTACACTGTTTAGATCATGAATGCACCAAAATCTCATCAATCACCTCTAAAGAACTTATCCATGTAACCAAAAAACGCCTGTACCCCAAAAACTACTGAAATATAAAAAGAAGGTTAGTGTTAGAAAGGACCTGGAAAAAATTTTATAAGCCTCTCATTTTAAAAATGAAGTAAAATAAGGAATTACTAAATTCCTTATTTTAATAAGGACATTATTATTTTAATAAAGACATTATTATTTTAATAAGGACATTGTTATTTTAATAAGGAACCCCTTACTAAATAGTGTGTCCTTTTAACTGAGACATGATTTGCCAGTTCAACGATGTATGGCTATATTAATTGGTAGTTTCTGAAACGAAAAAGACAGTATATTGGCAACAGTATCAACATTGTATATTTAGCCAATAGCATAAATAAAAAAGATGGTGGAGACGATGTATGTGCATCACTATCAGTCAACGAATGTCATAATTCTAAATGTATTGTTTTTAACAATGATACTTTAGGGAAAGGCATATATAATAATACTGAACTCATAAATAAGGTTTCTCAGTTTTGACTTAGTGCATTTTGGGCTATCTCATTGTGCATACTAAGTGAAGAAAAGAGGTATAAAATAACTCCACAGTCTTACTGTTTTTAGTTATATGAGTGTTCTGTTTGAAATCTCTGAACATCCCTTTGGGAAAGGATTGTAACAGTTTTGCTTAGTCTTTTTAAAAAAATTGCTTTTATTTCAATAGCTTTTGGGGTACAAATCATTTTTGGTTACATGGATAAATTATATGGTGGTGAATTCTGAGATTTTACTGTGCCTGTGACCTGAATAGTGTATGTTGTACCCAATATGCAGGTTTTCATCCCATGCCCCCCTTTCACTGTCCCACTTCTGAGTCTCCAAAGTCCATTATATCACTCTGTATGCCTTTGTGTATTCATAGCTTAGCTCCCACTTATAAGTGAGAGCATACGGTGTTTGGTTTTCTTATTCTGAGTTACCTCATTTAGACTAATGCCCTCCAGTTCCTTCCAAGTTGCTGCAAAATACATTATTTTGCTCCTTTTATGGCTGAGTAGTATTCCATGGGGTTTATATACCACATTTTTTTAATCCACTTATTGGTCAATGGGCACTTAGGTTGGTTCCATGTCTTTACAATTGTGAATTGGGCTGCAATTAACATATGTGTGCATGAGTCTTTTACATGTAACAACTTATTTTCTTTCGGGTAGATACCCAATAGTGGGATTGCTGGATCAAATGAAAAATCTACTTTCAGCTCTTTAAGGACTCTCCATGTTGTTTTTCATAGAGATTGTACTAATTTACATTCCCACTAGCTGTGTACAAATTTTGCATTTTCACCACATTTAAGCCAACATCTATTGTTTTTTGATTTTTTAAATAGTAGCCACTCTTCTAGGAGTAGGTGGTATCTCATTGTGGCTTTAATTTGCATTTCCCCGATAATTAGTGACGTTGAGCATTTTTTTCAAGTTTGTTGGCCATTTGTATATCTTCTTTTGAGAAATGCCTATTTATATCCTTTGCCCACTTTTGGATGGGATTGTTTGTTTCTTGCTGATTTGTTTGAGTTCCCTGTAGATTCTGAATATTAGTCCTTTGTCAAATGCATAGTTTATGAATATTTTCTCCCCTCTATGGGTTGTCGGTTTATTCCGTTGATTATTTCTTTGGCTGTACAGAAGCTTTTCAGTTTAATTAGGTCTCATTTATTTATTTTTGTTTTGGTAACATTTGCTTTTGGGGTCTTAGTAATAAATTCTTTGCTTAGACCAATTTTCAGAAGAGTTTTTCCTAGGTATTCTTTTAGAATTTTTATGGTGTCAGGTCTTAGATTTAAGTCTTTGATCCATCTTGAGTTGATTTTTATTGATGGTGAAAGACAGGGATCCAGTTTTGCTTTTCTACATGTGGCTCTCCAGTTTTCTCAGCACCATTTATTAAACAGGTTTTCCTATCCTCAATGTATGTTTTCATATGCTTTGTTGAAGATTAGTTGGTTTTAAGTATTTGGCTTATTTCTGGGTCCTCTATTTTATTCCATTGGATTATGTGCCTACCTTTTACCAGTACCATACTGCTTTGGTAATTATAGTCTTGTAGTATAACTTGAAGTCTGGCAATGTGATGTCTCCAGATTGGTTCTTTTTGTTTAGCATTGCTTTAAATATTCAGGCTCTTTTTTGGTTCCATATGAATTTTAGGGTTTTTTTTTTCCTAATTCTGTTAAAATAATGTTGGTATTTTGATGGGAATTACATTGAATCTGTAGATTTCTTTGTGCATTATGGTCTTTTGCACAATATTGATTCTCCTAATTAATGAGCATGGGATGTGTTTCTATTTGTTTGTGTCATCTATGATTTCTTCAGCAGTGTTTTGAGTTCTTCTTATAGGGATTTTTCACCACCTTGGTTAAGTATATTCCTAGGTATTTTTTAATTTGCAGCTGTTTTAAAAGGTATTGAGTTCTTAATTTGATTCTCAGCCTGGTTGTTGTTGGTGTATAGCAGTGCTATTGATTTGTGTACATTAATTTTGTAACCTGAGCCTTTATAGAATTCACTTCTTAAATCCAAGAGTCTTTTGGTGTGGTCTTTAGGATTTTCTAGCTATATGATAATATCATCTGCAAACAGCAATAGTTTGAATTCCTCTTTTCTGATTTTGATGTACTTTATTTCTTTGTCTTGCCTGATTGCTCTTGCCAAGACTTCCAGTACTATGTTGAATAGAAATGGTGAAAGTGGGCATACGTATCTTGTTGCAGTTCTCAGGGGAAATGCTTTCAACTTTTCCCTATTCAGTATGCTGCTGGCTGTGAGTTTGTCATTGATGGCTTTTATTATTTTAAGGTAGGTCCCTTCTATGTCTAGTTTGTTGAGGATTTTTCTCATAAAGGGATGCTGGATTTTATAAAATGCTGTTGGATTTAGTTAGCAAGTATTTTGTTGAGGATTTTTGCATCTACATTAATCAGAGATATTAGCATGTAGTTTTCTTTTTTCACTATGTCCTTTCCTTGTTTTGGTATCAGGGTGGTACTGGCTTCATAGAATGATTCAAGGATTCCCTCTATCTCAATCTTTTGTTATAGTTTCAGTAGGAATGGTACTAATTTATCTTTGAGTGTCTGGTAAAATTCAGCTGTGAATTCCTCTGGCCCTTGGCTTATTTTTCGGTTGGCAATTCTTTATTACTGACTTTATGTCATTGCTTGTGATTAGTCTGTTCAAGGTCTCTATTTCTTCCTATTTTAATCTAGGAGGGTTGTATGTTTCCCAGAATTGATCTATTTCCTCTAAGTTTTCTGGCTTGTGTGCAGAGAAGTGCTCATAATAGTCTCAAATGATCTTTTGAATTTCTGTGGTGTCAGTTGTAATGTCTCCAGTTTTCATTCCTAATTGAGATTGTTTGAATCTTCTCTCTTTGTTTCTTGGTTAATCTAGCTAATGGTCTATCAATTTTGTTTAACTTTTCAAAGAACCAGATTTTTGTTTTATTGATCTTTTGTATTATTTCTTTTCTGTTTCAATTTTATTTAAGATCTGGTCTGATCTTTTTTATTTCTTTTCTTCTGCTAGCTTTGGGTTCAGTTAGTTCTTGTATCTCTATTTTTTTGAGGTATGAGGTTATCAATTTGTGATCTTTCAGACTTTTTGGTGTATGTATTTTGTGCTATAAACTTTCCTCTTAGTACTGCTTCTGCTGTATCACAGAAGTTTTGATAAAAATTACCTGTGAATAAACCAGTTTTAAAATAAAACATCCATAGTGCATTCCTTCTTAATAGAAGCCAGAGTAGGATATGCACTTCAACTTGGAGTGACTATTCTTACTTCTTGTTTTACTAAGCCAGTGTAGAACATTGGTTAAAATCAAATATAAACTCGGGAATCAGACTAGTAGAGTCTGAATTCCTGTTTCATCAATTAACACTCTGTGACCTTGGGCAAGTGACTTCACTATTCTGTTCTTATTTTATTTATCTGTAAAATGAGGGTAGTAGTAGTATCTACTTCAAAGAAGTACTGTGAGGATTAAATGCGTTGATTTGTGTAAAGTATTTAGCATATTAACAGGTTCATAGTAACCAGTCAATACATATTATCTAGTCTTTATTCTTCATCTTTTTCTCCCTTAACCTCAAGACAGCTGAGAGGAATATATCCCTACCCTTCTTACACTTGTAATAATATACAAGGTTAACCAAAACAAATTATTTTTTGAAGTTCATCTTTGAGAAATTTCTGTTTCCAGTCCTGATGGAGTAACTGCTATCAGATTAGCCTTACCACTGTAGACAATTACAAAACTGAACAACACAGATGAAACAATTATTTTTGATCAGTATGCAACAAATAATGCATGACCATGATCCCTGAGAGCAAGGAAAGTTGCAAGTTGAACCCATGACTACCTAGCTCTCTGCCGGGGAAAGTTTCCTCACAGCAGCACAGAGATCTGTAGGCCATGTAGTACACAATAGTCACAATGAGATAAGATGGTAGAGGTCAGAGTTTGGGAAGCTGAAGTGGGTGGAATCTGTGAGGATAAGCATGGACCAAGAGCAGAGCTTTGCATAAAAGGGGCCCCAGGCTCTGTATGGGAGGTCTCCCACAAGATCGTGGTTGTTTGGGAGGTCTCCCACAAGATCGTGGTTGAAGGTTGAGCCATACGTGTGCAGGGTGAGACCACATCAGGCTTGCCAGACTACTCAGAAGTCAAAGACTTTAAGGTAAATGTTATAAGTAGGTTAAAAGAATTAAAGAAAAATATGTGAACAGACAATGAAGATCAACAAAGAAATGAGAACTATTAAAATAAACCCAGTTGAAATACTAGAATTTGGAAACCACAGTAACTAGCATGAAAGATTGATTGGCAGCGGGGCTTAAAAGCAGACTGGAGATGGCATAGGAGTCAATGAACATAAAAAGAGATTTTAAAAAGTACTCAACTTGAGAAACAGAGGAAAAAAGAATTTAAAAAAATGAAAAGAGTTTTGGGTATCTGTGCCACAATATAATGATATAAAATATTTCTCCTCAGAGTTCCGGTAAAAAAAGAATAATACTGGGGTAGGAAAAAAAAATTTTTTTCAAATAGATAAAAATGTCTCAAATCTGATAAAAGCAGAATGGGAACTTACAAAATCTTGAAAGGCTACCAAACTTCGAGCAATATAAATGTAAAGAAAACCACACCTAGGCACATGATAGTCGAACTGATGAAAAGCACAGATAAAGAGAAAAATTTGAAAAGCATCAGAGGCAAAAGATGCATGATATTCAGCAGGAGATGGTAAATCTTTTAGGCTTTGGGGCCACATATGGTCTCCTCTGTGGCATACTCCTTGCTTTTTAAAATAACTTTAAAAGTATAAAACCCATTTTAGCTCATAAGGCACACAAAAAAGTCCACAGGTCATAGTTTGCAAACCACTGACATACATAAAGATTATACTATAAGAATTATCACTGACTTCTTATCAGAAAGAAAGGATACCTGAAGGTATAGGATTGACATCTTTACTGAAAGAAAAAAGATACTCTCAATCTAGAACTCAATATCTACTAAAATATCTTTCTGAAATAAAGGTAGGGGAGGACAATGTGACTGACTAGGTGCAACCAGGTGAAAAAGCTGCCACCAAGGGGCTGAGAAGACTGGTGCTTTTCTTAGAAATCTTCAGATAGAAGGTACCGAGAGTGGAGAGAGGGAAGACACAGAAGCTGGGCTGAAGTGGGAGGAAGCTGGAAACCCCACACCGGGCTACTGTACACCAGGACTAATTCCTGGTCCCTAGTAACTCCAGAGGAATGGGTGAGTTGAACTGGCAAGGAACAACCTGCTCTCATCACAGGCCTCTAGATTCCCAACAGAAGAAAACCCCATGACCACCATCTTAAGTTGGCAGGAAGAGCTGCTTAGAGAAGTGGTAGGGGCAGGATGCCAGAGGAAGCAGAGCCCAGGGGGTTTGGTGCAGGAGCATGTGTAATGAAGCACAGCTGGAGAAGACCATCTCCCTAGGCTCAACTTGTGCCCACAGCAGACTTTAGCCCTAGGGGAACTGTCAGACCTGAACTCCGCAGGGCAGTCTTATTCACCAGATAGGGCAGGTTTAACCTGAGCACCCCTTGGTCTGCTGGCCTCTCTTGGGGACCCAGCCTGGTTGCGCCTGCTTTCAGGGCAGCTTCAGGTGCCCTGGAGGCCCATAGCATAGCTCCTGCACTGGCAGAATGTGCCTGACTGCTGGACACTTCCAGCAGGGTGTCCTCCATAGCCTTGCAACAGGCCACCCACTCCTTCCCCTCACTGCAGCTTCCCCTGGGACCATGGCACCACCCTACACTGTTTTGCTAGCATGTGTGTGCACAGGTGGGTTTTTCCTTACTTGCCCCACCAGCACATCTGTGTGCATGCACTCTGCCCTACTACTGTTGTGGCAAGAGTGTACTCAACCTCCCATTACCTCGCCAGACTGCCACTGCAGTCAGAGCCTTGGCAGGCATAGAACCAGCCAGCCCATTCCTGACAGCACCTTGCCCTTGCACCAACACTGCTGCAGGAGTAAAACTAGACACAGAGAACAGCAAACACTCTTCTGTGGTGAGTGTCCACCCTTACCCGTGGCGCACAGAGAATGCACACAGACCTGCTCCTGCCAGCGCCCTGTCCCCATGATAACACCACCACCAGCATGACAATGCACATAGTCACCAGCAAAGGCCCCTTCCCCACCCCCAAAGCCATGCTGTCCCTGCCCCTGAGGTGAATGATCACAGGGAGGCAGGTACCCCAACACCTGCTAGCAACTTGCTGCAGATGAAGAGTGTGCACCCCACTGCACTGCTCTTGCCACTGCTGCTGACAAAAGCAAATGAGGCACTGCCTCCTCACTATGAAAACCTTTAGCTGATATCACCCATCAGAGTGTAGTAGCGAGCAGTCGGGAGCACTTCAGCCCCCATAATGTAGAATATTCCTATCCTCGAGAATCCAGAGAACAAAGTTGAGGTCTGATATAAGTCCCCCAGAGTTAGAACATGCAGTCCAGGAGTCGGGAGCTGAGCGTTGGCCCCTTAAAACCTTCCAGAAATGAATCCAGTTAGCTGAATTCACTTTATTTCACTATCAAACACTCTAAGTCATGACAAAGGACAAAAAGAAAAAAAAAAACTATCCAAAGGTAAGCAACATAAAAGATTGAAGAAACATCAGCCCAAAAAGATGAGAAAGAACCAATGCAAGAACTCTGGCAACTCAAAAATGCAGAGTGCCTTCTCTTCTCCAAAAGACCACACCACTTCCACAGCAGGGATTCTGAACCAGGCTGAGGTTGCTGAAATGACAGAAATATAATTCAGAATATGGATGGGAACAAAGATCATTGAGATGTAAGAGTATGTTGAAACCCAATCCAAGGAAGATAACAATCACAATAAAATTATACAGGAGCTGACACAAAATAGCCAGTAGAGAAAAGAATGTAACTGACTTCATAGGGCTGAAAAACACACTACAGGAATGTGATAATGCAATCACAAGTATTAATAGCAGAATAGACCAAGCTGAGGAAAGAATCTCAGAGGTTAAAGACTGGCTTCCTAAAATAAGACAGGCAGACAAGAATAAAATATAGAAAAAAAGGGATGAATAAAACCTCTGAGAAATATAGGATTATGTAAAGAGACCAAACCTATGACTCAGTGGTGTCCCTGAAAAAGATGGGGAGAATGGAAGCAACTTGGAAAACATAATTTAGGATATAATTCATGAGAATTTCCCCAATCTAGTTAGAGAGGCCAACATTCAATTCAGGAAATACAGATCCTTTTCAGACAAGCAAATGCTGAGGGAATTCATCACCACCACACCTGCCTTGCAAGAGCTCCTGAAGGAAGCACTAAATATGGAAAGGAAAGACCATTACCAGCCACTACCAAAACACACTGAAGTATATAGACCAGTGACACTATGAGGCAACCACATAAACAACTCTGCAAAATAACCAGCTAGCATCATGATGACAGGATCAAATTTACACATAACCATACTAACCTTGAATGTAATGGGCTATGTACCCAAATTAAAAGTCAAAGATTGGCAAGCTGCATAAAGAACCAAGACACATTGGGATACTGTCTTCAAGAGACCTATCTCACATGCAATGACACACATAGGCTCAAAATAAAGGGTTGGAGGAAAATCTACCGGGCAAGTGGAAAACAAAAAAAAAGCAGAGGTTGCAATTCTAATTTGAGACAAAACAGACTTTAAACCAACAAAGATAAAAAAAAAAAAGACAAAGAGGGGCACTACATAATGGTAAAGGGTTCAAGTCAACAAGAAGACCTAACTATCCTAATTATATATGCACCCAACACAGGAGCACACAGATTAATAAAGCAAGTTCTTAGAGACCTTCAAAGAGACTTAGACTCTCATAAAATAATAGGGGGAGACTTCAACACCACACAGAGAATATTAGACAGATTACCGGGGGAGAAAATTAACAAAGATATTCAGGTCCTGAAGTTAGCACTGGATCAAATTGACCTGATAGACATGTACAGAACTCTCCACCCCAAAAGCAATAGAATATACATTTTTCTCACCAACACGTGACACATACTCTAAAATCAACCACGTAATTGGACAAAAAACACTCCTCAGCAAATACAAAAGTACTAAAATCATAAGAAATGCTCTCTCAGACGACAGCACAATCCAATTAGAAATCAAGACTAAGAAATTTGCTCAAAACCATAAAATTACATGGAAAATCAATTACCTGCTCCTGAATGATTTTGAGTAAATAATGAAAGTAAGGCAGAAATCAAAAAGTTCTTTGAAACTAAGGAGAACAAAGATAGAACATACCAGAAACTCTGGAACATATCTAAGGCAGTATTAAGAGGGAAATGTATAGCACTAAATTTCCACATCAAAACATTAGAACAGTCACAATTTAACAAACTAGCATCACAATTAAAATAACTAGAGAACCAAAAGCAAATAAATGCCAAAGTTAGTAGAAAAAAGAAAATAATGAAAATCAGAGCTGAACTGAAGGAAATTGAGGCACAAGAAGACACCCTTGATCAATGATTTCAGAAGTTGTTTTTTGAAAAAAGTAATAGAATAGATATACCACTAGCTAGACTAAAAAAAAAGAAAATATAAAAGTTTCAAAGAAACATAATTAGAAACACTAAAGGGGATATTACCACTGACCCCAAAGACATAAAAATAATCCTCAGAGAATATTATGAACACCTCCATAGACATAAACTAGAAAATCTAGAATAAATGGATAAACTCCTGGACACATACAACCTCCCAAGACTGAGCCAGGAAGAAATTGAATTCCTGATCAGACCAATAAAAAGCTTTGAAATTGAATCAGTAATAAATAGCCTACCAACAACAACAACAACAAAAACCCAGCACCTGATGGATTCACAGCCAAATTCCACCAGATGTACAAAGAAGAGCTGGTACCATTTCTACTAAAACTATTCCCAAAAATTGAGAAGGAGGAACTCCTCCCTAACTCATTCTAAGAGGGAAGCATCATCCTGATACCAAAACCTGGCAGAGGCACAACAAAAAAAGAAAACATCAGGCCAATATCATTGATGAACATAATTGTAAAAGTCCTCAACAAAACACTGGCAAACTAAATCCAGCCACACATCAAAAAACTAATCCACTGTGATCAAGCAGGCTTTATTTCTGGGATGCAAGTTTGGTTCAACATACACAAATCAATAAATATAATTGATCACATAAACAGAACCAAAGTGAAAAACCACATGATTATCTCAGTAGATGCAGAATAGGCTTTAGATAAAATTTAACACCTCTTTATGTTAAGAGCTTTGAATGAAGTAGGTCTTGAATATACCTCCAAATAATAAGATCCATGTATGGCAAACCCAAAGCCAACATCATACTGAAGGGGAAAAAGCTGGAAGCATTGCCATTGAAAACCAGCACAAGACAAGAATGCCCTTTCTCACCACTCCTATTCAACATAGTATTAGACATCCTGGCCAGGGAAATCAGGCAAAAAAAAGAAATAAATTTCATTCAAATAGGAATATAAGAAGTCAAACAATCTTTGCAGAAATCATGATTCTATGTGTCAGTTCAAAAGCTCCTTAAGCTTATAAACAACTTCAGCAAAGTCTCAGGATACAAAATTGATGTATAAAAATAACTAGCATTTCTATAGACCAACAGTAGTCAAGCCGAGAGCCATATCAGGAACACAGCCCCAATCACAATTTCCACAAAAAAATAAAACACCTAGGTATACAGTTGACTAGGGAAGTGAAAGATCTCCACAAGGAGTACTACAAAACACTTCTCAAATAAATCAGAGATCACAAAAAATTTGAAAACCATTCCAGGCTACTGTGTAGGAAATATCATTATCATTAAAATGGCCATACTACCCAAAGCAATTTGTAGATTCTATGCTATTCCTATCAAACTACCAAGGACATTCTTCACAGAAATAGAATAAACTATTTTAAAACTCATATGAAACCAAAAAAGAGCCTGAATAGCCAAGGCATTCCTAAGCAAAAACAACAAAGCTGGAGGCATCATGCTACCTGACTTCAAACTATACTACAAGGCTACAGTAACCCAAACAGTATGGTACAAAAATAAATGCATAGACCAAGGGAACAGAATAGTCAGCCCAGAAATAAGTCTGCACAGCTACAATTGTCTAATTTTCGACAAACCTGACAAGAACAAGCAGTGGGGAAAGGATTCCCTACTGAATAAATGGTACTGGGATAACTGGCTAGCCATATGCCGAAGATTGAAACTGGACCCCTTTCTTGTACCATATACAAAAATCAATTCAAGATGGATTAAAGACTTAATTGTAAAACCCAAAACCATGAAAACCCTGGAAGACAACCTAGGCAATACCATTCTGGATATAGGAATGGGTCAAGATTTCATGGCAAAGAGGCCAAAACCAATGACAACAAATGCAAAAATTGACAAATGGAACCTAATCAAACTAAAGAGCTTCTGCACAGCAAAAGAAACTATCAACAGAGTAGACCAACAACCTACAAAATGGGAGAAAATGTTTGCAAATTATGCATTCAATGAAGGTTCAATATCCAGCATCTATAAGGAACTTAAATTTACATGAAGAAAACAAACAACCCTATTAGTATGTGGGTAAAGAACATGAACAGACACTTTACAAAAGAAGACTTACATGTGTTTGAAAACATGAAAAAAAGCTCAGCATCACTGATCATTAGAGAAATGTGAATCAGAACCACAGTGAGATATCATCTCACATCAGTCAAAATGGCTATTACTTAAAAGTCAAAAAATAACAGATGCTGGCGAGATTGTGGAGAAAAAGGAATGCTTATACACTGTTGGTGGGAGTGTAAATTAGTTCAACCATTTTGGAAGACAATGTGGCAATTCCTCAAAGACCTAAACAGAGCAATACTATTTGACCTAGCGATCCCATTACTGGATATATACCGAAAAGAATATAAGTCATTTTATCATAATAATACATGTAATAGTATGTTTACTGCAGCACTATTCACAATAGCAAAGACATGGAATCAACCTAAATGAGGATCAGTGGTAGAATGGTTAAAGAAAATGTGTGCATATACACCATGGAATACTATACAGTCAGGAAAAAGAACAAGGTAATGTTCTTTGCAGCAACATGGATGGAAGTGGAGGCCATTATCCTTAGCAAACTAGCACAGTAACAGAAAACCAAATACTGCATGTTCTCACTTATAAGTGGGAGCTAAGTGATGAGAAGACATGGACACACAGAGGGAAACACTTGGGCCTTGCACACTGGGGCCTACTTGAGTTTGAAGGGTGAGAGGAGGGAGGGGATCAGGAAAAATAACTAATAGGTAATAGGCTTAATACCTGGGTGACAAAATAATCTGTACAACAAATTCCCATGACACGAGTTTACCTATATAACAAACCTGCAACTGTACACTGAACTTAAATTAAAAGTTAAAAAAGAAATAAAGTTGAAACGAGCTTTATATTTATATTTGCTAGTATCCCTTCCTTTGAGTTTTTCAATGCTCAAGCTTCACACTCTTCCCTCCTGTTTAGACATTCCACTGAAACTCCACATATGGGTACTAAATATCATTTTGCTGTGCTCTATCTGTTCTAGTCTCTCACATGAAACATCTCATCAGGGTTTCCCCACTCCATTAATATATCTTGTTCTATGTATTCTGTTCATCTTCAAAATTACTCTACGTCCCATTTTCTCCGAATCTTGCTTTATTCTATAGAATCCATGCTAACGTTTTAATGGGGTTTTGCTGGCTACCATTAATTTAATACAACCTAACATTTGAGAAAAATAACAATTTTTATTGTTTTATTACTTTGTGGCTCTTCAGAGAATTCTCTTTCTTTCATGGTCAGCTGATGTTGGTACAATAAAATCATGACTGTGATTTTTGCTGATCCCACGTATTTACAGGCATGTAAAGAAATCTATTATCTTCACAGTTAAGCAAGCATTCTGTTAATTACTCTGTAACTAAGTAGTTGGTCAGCTTTTTACATCAGGCAGTTGAAAGCATAATGAAGCATATTCTTCATGTGGCTAATGTGACCTTTTCAGTAAACATACTGCTTAAATGCCTGCTTCTCAGGTAATATTTTCAAAGATGTTTGCCAAGTGTGATGTTTCTGCAGTGGATATTTAAATTTATATTTTATAAATGGATCTCTTTAAAATACCATTAAAAGGTAGCAGGTTTTTCTCTTTGCTAGCACTCTTGCTCTTTTTAGCTATGAATGCTTTTCCCTAACTTTTACAAGAAAAAGAAAGAGAAGCAGAAAAACAAAAGTCTCAAAAATTCCCTCTTCTTAGGCTAATTCTTGTGCTCTACACACTTTTCTTTTTCCTGTAAGCAATGGATATCATCAAATTTCACAAAATCACTGGATTTTCTTAATTCAAAAAAATATATATGTAAATATACAAAAGTGTTAGATTCTAGAAGTTCATAAAATGACATTTAATAATTTATTTCCAGTCTCTAAACCTGTCAACTAGGGCTTAAATATTATTTATCTGACCCAGATAATTGGGTATACATGCAAAAAGTCTTTATTCTTTGATTAGATGTGCAATGAGGGTAAGTTGTAACTGTTTATATTTGTTCATTTATGTTTTGTCTCGTTCTCTTCCTGTCTCCTCCCTTCCCCTCTCCTTTCCCTTTGTTACTGCCTCTCTCCACACACTTCTATTTTTTCTGAATCTTTTGAAAGAAAATTGCAGACATCATCCCTGGATATTTCAGAATATATTTTCTCAGTCCCAGGGCATTCTTCTACATAACCACAATAATAGTTATCAATCTAAAGTGATAAAATTTTCAAATATATGGTCTATTTTCAACTTTTCACTTTTTCCCAAAAATGTCCTCCATAACTGTCGTGTTTAAATATATGATCCAATAATATAACATTTGTTTGCCATGTCTCTAGACTCCTTTAATACGGAACAATCCCTCTTATTTTGCCTTTTCTAACATTGACCTTTTTCAAGATTACAAGCCATTTGCCTTGTGAGCTATCTCATAGTCTGTGGTAATCTGATTGTTCTCTCATGAATGGAGGAGGCTAAAGATTTTTTGCAGGAATAATACATAGGTAGTGGTGTGCATTCCCCATTGCATCATGTTAACTTGTTCTGTTATTAGTTTTATCACCTTGGTTAAGGGATATCCACTAGAGCTCTCCATTGTAAAGGCACATTTTCTTCTTGGTAATTAGTAAGTAATCTGTGGAGTGATAGATACTTCACCCAATTGCTTTGGCATCCAGTGATTATTTTTGTCTGAATCAATATTACATTGGAAATCATAAAATGGTGATTTTATAATTTGTTTCTTTTTTAACTTTTATTTGCTAGCTGGCATTTTTTGGTAAGAAAGAGATTTCCCTTTGTCCCCTCCTTTTTATATGACTAAAGACTCATGGACTCATATTTTACTAAGTGTGTTAAAGGTTATTACTGCCATTTTTTTATGTTCCAATTGTTTCCAATTTGGTTAATGGGTTGCTCTTCAAACTAGTTTTTATATCCTTTTGATATGCCCCAAAAGTCTTTCAGCACTTCCTTGTTTTTTGATGCAATAAGATGTTCCAGGATCGCTTTGTTCTTTTTCTATCCCAGACTTGGAATTAGCCACTGTCCCAAAGAATCTTAGCTCTTTTTAGTGTGGAATGGTATTTAGAAACCAAAACATAGTCAATATGTGTGCTCATTGCTACAGCAGTGTTATTGCTTATAAGCTCTTTTCAGTAGACAAATCTAAAAAATATGTGTGTGTGTATGTGTGTTTAAATCATAGGTTCACACTGATAGCTCTATTTCAAATATCATAGGGCCCTTCCTCATTTCCTCTATATCGTATTTGTTTCTTCATCTACCTACTATAAAATCCCAATTTACAAAATTATCAACATATTTATTCATATAATTCACACAAAATTGTATAGCCTACAATAAACACAAAATAGTTTTAGAATTACTATACGAATAGTGCAACTAAAAATGAATCAGTTGAGAAAAATACAATATGTCTTGTAGTCCTGTTTGTCTTTAAGATATATGTCAAACTAAGGAGGCAAGCTTAGAATAATCAAAAGTTACATCAATTACTTCTGTAAGGTTATGTTATTAATTTGATATACAACTAGGCTCATTTGTTTCCATTTGTAGTCAGTTTTAGGGCTTTCTTTTTCAATATTTATTTTTATTTTTGAAAAGTATAAGCTACGTGCATAGTTCAAAAATCAAAGTTATATTAAAAAAGATTTAGTCAAAGAATCTCAATTTCATCCCTATCACCTGCATTTCATTACCACTCATCCACTGGAGGTATCCATTCTTTCAATTTCTGGTTTTGCTTTCCTCAGTTTCTCTTTTGCAAAATAAGGAAATATACACATTCTATAAGAAGCTGTATATTGCACAGGGTTCTTTATTTTTTATTGATATATAATAGTTGTACATATTTTGGTGATACATGTGATATTTTGATAACTGTATAAAATCAATGTAATTGGGATATCTATAACCTCCAACATATATCTTTCTTTGTGTTGGGAACATTACAGTTCTTTTATTCTGGCTATTTTGAAATATAAAATAAACTATTGTTAATTATAATTTCCCTACTGTACTACTGAATACTAGAACTTATGCCTACTATTTTCCTGTATTTTTGTACCCCTTAGCCAACTTCTCTTTATTCCTCCCGCCTCCTTCCTTTATTGGCCCCTGGTAATCAGTATTCTATTCTCTACCTCCATGAGATCCACATTTTTAGGTACTGTATATGAGTGACAACGTGCAATATTTGTCTTTTGACGTTTGGCTTATTTCACTTAACATAATGACCTGAAGTTCCATCCATGTTGCTGCAAATGACAGAATTTCATTCTTTTTTATTGCTGCATAATGTGAATGAGAACATGCAATATTTGTCTTTCTGTGCCCAGCTAATTTCATTTATCATAATAACCTCCAGTTTGATTCAAATAATAGGAATTCATTATTTTTATGCCTAAAAAATATTCCATTGTGTATATATGCCACATTATCTTTATTCATTCCTCCATTGATGAATACTAGGTTAATTCTGTATCTTGGCTATTCTGAATAGTGCTACCTTAAACAAGGGAGTGCAGATATCTCTTCAATATATTTATTTCCTTTATTTTGAATATATACTCAGCAGTAGGATTGCTGGATCAAATGATATTTTTAATTTTAATTTTTGGAGGAACCACCATACTGTTTTTCGTAGTGGTTGTACTAATTTACATTCCCACCAGCAGTGTAAAAGTGTTCCCTTTTCTCTGCATCCTTGACAGCATTTGTTATTTTTTTCATCTTTTTTGGTAATAACCATTCTAACAAGGAAAAGAGGATATCTCATTGTGGTTTTGTTTTGCATTTCCCTGATGATTAGTGATTTTGCACATTGTTTCATGTACTTGGCCATTTGAATGCCTTCTTTTGAGATATGTCTATTCAGATATCATGGTTATTTTTAAATCAGATTGTATTTTTGCTGTTGTTTGAGTTCCTCATGTATTCTATGTATTAATTATCAGATTAATAGTTTGCAAATATTTATTCTATTCTACTAGTTGTCTCCCCACTCTATTTTTCCATTGCTGTGCAAAAGCTTTTTAGCTTGATATAATCTCATTTGTTTAATTTTGCCTTTGATGCCTCTGCTTCTAAGGTCTTATCCAAAAAATCTTTGCCCAGACCAATGTCCTGTAGTATTTCTCCAATGTTTTATCTTAGTAATTTTATAGCTTCAGGTCTTACATTTAAGTCTTTAATCCATTTTTGAGTTGATTTTTATATGGTGAAAAATGAAGATATAGTTTATTTCTTCTGCATATGGTTATCCAGCTTTCCCAGCATGATTTTTTAGAGACACTCTTTTCCTATGTGTATGTTCTTGGCACCTTTTTGAAAACGAGTTGGCTATAAGGGGATAAATTTATTTCTGGGTGTTCTGTTCTGTTCCATTGGTCACTGTGCCTGTTTTTATGCCAGTATCATGCTGTTTTGGTTGGTGCAGATTTGTAGTATAATTGGAAATTAGTGATGTAGTTTGGATATTTGTACTCACCCAAATCTCATGTTGAATTGTAATCCCTAGTGGTGGAGGTGAGGCCTGGTGGGAAGTGTTTGGACCATAGGGGTGGATCCCTCAAGGCGTGGTGCTGTCTTCGTGATAGAGTTCTCATGAGATTTAGTCATTTAAAAGTGTGGTGTGACACCTCTCCCTCACACTCTCTCTTTCTTGCTCCTGCTTTGTGGTGTGATGTGCAAGCTCTCACTTCACCTTCCCCCATGAGTAAAAGCTTCCTGAGGCCTCACCAAAAGCTATGTTTTGTGTATAACCTGCAGAACCATGAGTCAAGTAAATCTGTTTTCTCTATAAATTACCCAGTCTCCAGTATTTATAACAACGCAAGAACAGCCTAATACTATCAGGTAGTGAGAGGCCTCCAGCTTTGTTCTTTTTTTTCCTCATTATTGCTTTAGCTTTTTGGGGTCTTTTATGATACCATACAAATTTTAGGCTTGTATTTTCTATTTCTGTGAAGGATGTGATTGGTATTTTGATAGGAATTATGTTAAATCTGTTGATCGCTTTGGGTAGTATCATCATTTTAACAATATTCTTAATATTCTCAATATTATAACAATAACTTATATCTACTAGTTTTAAACATTTTAATATTCCAATGGCTAATCATTTGTTATTTTCTGTTTTTCTTTCAACAGTTTCTTGAAAACTACAATGGTACTTTGAGAGCTGAGTGGGTATCTCTGGAAGGGCCTATGAGAGAAACAATTAGAAAGTCTTCTAAGTGACTTGTCTGGGGATCAGCAGAGGGACCTGCTTGGGGACTAGAAAGTGGACTTCCTATGGGAAACATAGGGGTCCATGCTGTGAGTCCTGCAAGAGGGCATGCTGAGAGACATGCTAGGGAATACATGTGAAGTCATACAAGGAGACTTATTGTGAGGCCTGGAGGGAGACATGCTCTGAGTCCTATAAAGAGGGCATGCTGAGAGACATGCAAGAGGATATGCCATGAGTCCTACAAGAGGACTTGCTGTGAGTCCTGAAAAAGGCCATTCTGTGAGTCGTTCAAAGAAACCTGTGGTAAATCCTGCAAGATGACATGCTAAGAGACTTGTTATGGTGTTTGCTGTGAGTCCTACAAAGAAATGTGCTGAGCGTCCTACCAGAGAATATGCTGAGACAAGCAAAGCAATGAATTGTGAGATCTTCAAAGAGACGTCCTGTGAGTTCTGCACAGATATTTGTTCTGGGATGGGCAAGAACTACTGTGAGTCCCACAAGGAGACCTCTTATGATGCCTGAAAGGGAACTTGTTCTGGGAGTTGCAATGGGACTTACCATAAAACCAACAGAAGCATATGCTGGGGAAACTTCAAGATCTGCAAAACAGTTAACTCAGTAAGTTTTGTACATTTGCCTTTTCATATAACAGGTCTAATGTGTATTATAATTTTAAAATAAGATTGCAATTTTCACATGCCCACACTTGTCACCAAGTGTGAATCTAAAGACCTTATGTAGGCATTGTGTTAAAGAATTTTAGAGAAAGGATCTTATATCTTGTGATTTTAGAAAAACCCCTCTTATTAAAAAGGAACAGTTTAAAGAAAACGTGCTTTGAATTTACCTTCATTTTTCCTCACTTCAAGGTAGGAAGTGTTGAAAAGGAGAAAACACTATACTGACTATTTTTTGTTTTAATTTTTTTCTAAACTTTAGTTTTAGTTTTGGGACTATAAGTGAATGTTTGTTACATAGGTAAACATGTGACATTGGGGGTTGTTGTACAGATTATTTCATCAACGAGGTATTAAGCCCAGTACCCAATAGTTATATTTTCTGCTCCTCTCTCTCCTCCCACTCTCCACCCTCAAGTACCACAGTGTCTGTTGTTTCCTTCTTTGTGTTCATACATTTTTATTATTTAGCTCCCATTTATAGGTGAGAACACATGGTATTTGGTTTTCTTTTCCTGTGTTAGTTTGCTAAAGATAATAGCCACCAGCTCCATCCATGTTTTGGCAAAGAAAATTATCTCATTCTTTTTTATGGCTGTACAGTATTCCACGGTGTATAGGTACCACATTTTTTTATCCAATCTGTCATTGATGGGCATTTAGGTTAATTCCATGTCTCTGTTATTGTAAAAAGTTTTGTAATAAACATTCGCTTGCATGTGTCTTTATGGTAGAATAATTTATATTCCTCTGGGTATATACAAAGTAATGAGACTGCTGGGTCAAATGATAGCTCTGCTTTAAGCTTTTTGAGGAATCATCATACTGCTTTCCATAATGGCTGAATGAATTTATACTCCCACCAACAGTGTATAAGTGTTTCCTTTTCTCCACAACCTCACCAGCATCTGCTATATTTTCACTTTTTAAGAATAACCATTCTTACTGATGTGAGATGGTATCTCATTGTGGTTTTGATTTGCATTTCTATAACGATCAGTGACACTGAGCTTTTTTTCTTTTTTTTATTTTTATTTTTTTATTTTTTTATTATTATTATACTTTAAGTTTTAGGGTACATGTGCACAATGTGCAGGTTAGTTACATATGTATACATGTGCCATGCTGGTGTGCTGCACCCATTAACTCGTCATTTAGCATTAGGTATATCTCCTAATGCTATCCCTCCCCCATCCCCCCACCACACAACAGTCCCCAGAGTGTGATGTTCCCCTTCCTGTGTCCATGTATTCTCATTGTTCAATTCCCATCTATGAGTGAGAGTTCATTGTAGTTGTTGGAGTTCATTGTAGATTCTGGATATTAGCCCTTTGTCAGATGAGTAGGTTGTGAAAATTTTCTCCCATTTTGTAGGTTGTCTGTTCACTCTGATGGTAGTTTCTTTTGCTGTGCAGAAGCTCTTTAGTTTAATTAGATCCCATTTGTCAATTTTGGCTTTTGTTGCCATTGCTTTTGGTGTTTTAGACATGAAGTCCTTGCCCATGCCTAGGTCCTGAATGGTAATGCCTAGGTTTTCTTCTAGGGTTTTTATGGTTTTAGGTCTAACATTTAAGTCTTTAATCCATCTTGATATTGAGCTTTTTTTCATATGCTTGTTGGTTGCATGTACATCTTCTTTTGAAAAGAGTCTGTTAATGTCCTTTGTGCACTTTTTAATGTTTTTTTTTCTTTTGTAAATTTGTTTAAGTTCCTTATACATGATGGATATTAGACCTTTGTCAGATGCGTAGTCTGCAAATATTTTCTCCCTTTCTGTAGGATGTCTGTTTACTCTGTTGATAGTTTCCTTTACTGTGCAGAAGCTCTTAAGTTTAATTAGATCCCACTTGTTAATTTTACTTTTGTTGCAATGAATTTGGTATATTTGTCATGAAATCTTTGCCCATTCCTATGTCCAGGATGGTATTGCCTAGGTTTTCTTCCAGGGTTTTTATAGTTTTGGGTTTTACATTTAAGTCTTTAATCCATTTTGAGTTGATTTTTGTATATGTTTTATGGAAGGGTTCCGGCTTCAACCTTCTGCATATGATCAGCCATTTATCCCAGCACCATTTATTGAATAGGGAGTCTTCTTTCTATTGCTCATTTTTTTCAGCTTTGTCAAAGATCAGATGGTTGTAGATGTGCAGTCTTACTTCTGGGCTCTCTATCCTGATCCATTGGTCTATGTTTGTTCTTGTACCAGTACCATACCATTTTGGTTACAGTGGCCCCCTACTATAGTTTCAAGTCAGGTAGTGTGATGCCCCCAGCTTTGTTCTTTTTGCTTAGGATCGCCTTGGGTATTCAGGCTCGTTTTTGGTTCCATGTGAATTTTAAAATAGCTTTTTCTAGCTCTGTGAAGAATGTGATTGGTATTTTGATAATAATAGCATTCAATCTGTAAATTGCTTTGGGCAGTTTAGTCATTTTAATGACATCGATTCTTTCTATCCATGGTCATGGTACACTTTTCCAATTATTTGTGTCTTCTCTGATTTCTTTGGGCAGTGTTTTGTAATTCTCACTATAGAAATGATTAAAGGACCATTACTACTGACCCCACAGAAGAAAAAACAACCATGAGAAACTACTATGAACAGCTCTATGCACACAAACTAGAAAACCTAGAAGAGATGAACAAATTCCTCAACATTTACACCCTCCCAAGACTGAGCCAGGAAGAAACTGATTCCTGGGACAGACCAATAAAGAGCTTTGAAATTGAATCAGTAATAAATAAACAGCCTACCAACCAAAAAAAGCCCAGCATCTGATGGATTCACAGCCGAAATCTACCAGATGTACAAAGAGCTGGTACCATTCCTATAGAAGCTACTCCAAAAAATTGAGGAGGAGGGACTCCTCCCCAACTCATTCTATAAGGCCAACATCATGTTGGCACAAAAACCTGGCAGAGACACATCAATAAAGAAAACTTCAGGCCAATATTCCTGATAAACATCATGCAAGAATCCTCAACAAAATACTTGCACACCAAATCCAGCAGCATGTCAAAAAGCTAATCCACCATGATCGAGTAGGCTTTATTCCTGGGATGCAAAGTTGGTTCAACATATAAAACTCAATAAATGTAAATCATCACATAAACAAAACTAAAGACAAAAACCACATGATTATCTCAATAGACACAGGAAAGGCTTTTGATAAAATTCAACACTCCTTCATGTTAAAAACTCTCAATAAACTAGGTATTGAAGAAACATACCTTAAAATAATAAGAACCATCTATGGCAAACCCGGAGCAAACATTATACTGAATGGGCAAAAGCTGGAAGCACTCCCTTTGAAAACCAGCACAAGACAAGGACAACCTCTCTCACCACTTCTATTCAACATAGTATTGGAAGTCCTAGCCAGAGCAATCAGGCAAAAGTAAGAAATAAAAGACATCCAAACAGGAGAAGAGGAAGTCAAACTATCTCTATGTGCAGACAACATGGTTCTACATCTAGAAAATGCCATAACCTCAGCCCAAAAGTTCATACAGCTGATAAACAACATCAGCAAAGTTTCAGGATACAAAATCAATGCACAAAAGTTACTAGCATTACTATACATCACCAACAGCCAAAACCATGAGCTAAATCAGAAATGCCATTCCATTCACAAAGACACTAAAAGAAAACAATCCTAGGAATACAGCTAACCAGGGAGGTGAAAGATCTCTACAATGAGAGTATTTCTATAAACTGACCTAACATTTGAAAAATTATAAAGCCACCTTTTAGAAAGATAGTTATCACTTGAATGCATTTCCCCTCCCAAAACACTAAATATGGAAAATATTTTATCATTTTTAATATTCAAAACAATTTTATAGATTAAATGACAAAGACTTCATGAAGAAAATGCCAAAAGCAATTTCAACAAAAGTCAAAATTGACAAATGAGATCTGATTAAACTAAAGAGCTTCTGTGCAGCAAAAGAAACTATCATCAGCGTGAACAGGCAACCTACAGAATGGGAGAAAATTTTTGCAATCTACCCATTTGACAAAGGTCAAATATCCAGAACCTACAAGTAACTTGAACAAATTTACAAGAAAAAAACAAACAACCCCATTAAAAAGTGAACAAAGAATATGAACAGACACTTCTCAAAAGAAGACATTTATGCAGCCAACAAACCTACAAAAAAAAAGCTGAACATCACTGATTGTTGGAGAAATGCAAATCAAAACCACAGTGAGATACCATCTCATGCCAGTTAGAATGGCGATCGTTAAAAAGCCATGAAACAATAGATGCTGGCGAGGCTGTGAAGAAATAAAAATGCTTTTACGCTGTTGGTGGAAATGTAAATTAGTTTAAACATTGTGGAAAACTGCGTGGTGATTCCTTAAAGATCTGGAACCTGTAATACCATTTGACCCAACAATCGCATTACTGGGCATATACCCAAAGGAATATAAATCATTCTACTGTAAAGACAAATGCACATGTATGTTTATTGCAGCACTATTTTCAATAGCAAAGACATGGAACCAACCCAAATGTCCATCAATGATAGACTGGAAAAAGAAAATGTGACACATATACACCATAGAATACTATGCAGCCATAAAAAAGAATGAGATCATGTCATTTGCAGGGATATAGGTGAAGCTGGAAGCCATCATCATCAGCAAGCTAACACAAGAACAGAAAACCAAATACCTCATGTTCTCACTCATAAGTGGGAGTTGAACAATGAGAACACATAGACACAGAATGGGAACAACACACACACTGGAACCTGTTTGGGGGTGGTGGGCGAGGGGAGGGAACTTAGATGACGGGTCAATAGGTGCAGCAAATCACCATGGCACATGCATACCTATGTAACGAACATGCACGTTCTGCACATGTATCCCAGAACTTAAAGTAAAAATTTTTTAAAAAGAATACTACAGATACTAAGATAAAGTGGTTTAGGTGTTTACTATGGAGTAGAAATGACAGAAAATACCATAGTAAATATGTTTACAATGGAAAACAATTAAATGACAAACGTATAAAATAAATAGACTGTAAAGACAATTCAAGTGACAATGTTAAATTATCCTGTAGGCTATTTTCCACTTGAGCAACATAACAAGGTTTCAGAATTCACCAAAAATATCATGTATTTTTTCAGTTTTCACTTGTTTCACAGTTTTAATATTTATTAAAACATAAACGTAAAGCACTGTTTGCTTTACTGATTTTGAATCAATGTATCATTTATTGTTTTATTATGACAATAGGAAAATACTTAGTATGGTGGGGGTCAAAGTCTCTTGGCCCCCTAAAGTTTCACTGGAAAATTACTGGCATGAGGTAAATTGATTGAAAATTTATTTAACATGTATACTCAGAAATCTTCCCAATGGAATACTCTTCAGCCATAGAAAAGAATGAGATCATATTCTTTGCAGAGACGTGGATGGAGCTGGAGGCCATTATACTCAGCAAACTAACACAGGGACATAAAACCAAACATTGCATGTTCTCACTTATAAGTGGGAGCTAAATAATGAAAACACATGGAAACAGAGAGGGGAACAATGGACACTGGGCTCTACTTAAGGGTGGAAGCTGTGAAGAGGAAGGGAACTAGGAAAAATAACTAATGGGTACTATGCTTAATACCTGGGTGATGAAATAATCTGTACAACAAACTCCATACCATAAGTTTACTTGTATAACAAGCCTGCACATGTACCTCTGTTACAGAAAAGGGGTCCGGATTCAGAACCCAAGAGAGGGTTCTTGAATTTCACATAAGAAAGAATTCAGAGTGAGTGTATACAGTAAAGTGAAATCAAGTTTGTTAAGAAAGTAAAGGCATAAAAGAATGGCTACTCCACAGAAAAAGAAGCACTGAGGGCTGCTAGTTGCCCATTTTTATGGTTATTTCTTGATGATATGCTAAACAAAGGATGGATTATTCATGCTTCCCCTTTTTAGACCATGTAGGGTAACTTCCTGACATTGCCATAGCATTTGTAAACTGTCATGGCGCTGATGGAAGTGTAGCAGCGAAGAAGACCAGAGGTCAATCTTGTAGCCATCTTGGTTTTGGTGAGTTTTAGCTGGCCTTTTTTTACTGCAACTGTTTTTTTTTTTTTTTTCTTTTATGCTTTAAGTTCTGGGATACCTGAGCAGATTTGTTACATAGGTATACACGTGCCATGGTGGTTTGCTGCACCCATCAAACCGTCATCTACATTAGGTATTTCTCCTAATGCTATCCCTCCTCTAGTCCCCCACCCCCTGACAGACCCCAGTGTGTGATGTTTCCCTCCCTATGTCCATGTGTTCTCTTTGTTCAACTCCCACTTATGAATGAGAACATGTAGTGTTTGGTTTTCTGTTCCTGTGTTAGTTTGCTGAGGTTGATGGTTTCCAGCTTCATCCATGTCTCTGCAAAGGACATGAACTCATCCTTTTCAATGGCTGCATAGTATTCCATGGTGTATATGTGCCACAGTTTCTTTATCCAGTCCATCAAAGATGGGCATTTGGGTTGGTTCCAAGTCTCTGCTATTGTGAATAGTGCCACAATAAACATACGTGTGCATGTGTTTTCATAGTAGAATGATTTATAATCCTTTGGGTACATATCCAGTAATGGGATGGCTGGGTCAAATGGTATTTCTAGTTCTAGATCCTTGAGGAATGGCCACACTGTCTTCCACAATGGTTGAACTAGTTTACAGTCCCACCAACAGTGTAAAAGCGTTTCTATATCTCAACATCCTCTCCAGCATCTGTTGTTTCCTGACTTTTTAATGATCACCATTCTAAATGGCATGAGATGGTATCTCATTGTGGTTTTGATTTGCATTTCTCTAATGACCAGTGATGATAAACTTTTACTCATATGTTTGTTGGCCGCATAAATGTCTTCTTTTGAGAAGTGTGTGTTCATATCCTTCACCCAATTTTTGATGGTTTTTTTTTTTTTCTCGTAAATTTGTTTAAGTTACTTGTAGGTTCTGGATATTAACCCTTTGTCAGATGGATAGATTGCAAAAATTTTCACCCATTCTGAAGGTAGCCTGTTCACTCTGATGATAGTTTCTTTTGCTGTGCAGAAGCTCTTTAGTTTAATTAGATCCCATTTGTCAATTTTGGCTTTTGTTGCCATTGCTTTTGGTGTTTTACCCATGAAGTCTTTGCCCATTCCTATATCCTGAATGGTACTGCCTAGATTTTCTTCTGGGGTTTTTGTGGTTTTAGGGCTTACATTTAAGTTTTTAATCCATCTTGAGTTAATTTTTGTATAAGGTGTAAGGAAGGGGTCCAGTTTCAGTTTTCTACACATGGCTAGCCAGTTTTCCCAACATCATTTATTAAATAGGGAATCCTTTCCCCATTGCTTGCTTTTGTCAGGTTTGTCAAAGATTAGATGGTTGTAGATGTGTGGCATTATTTCTGAGGCCTCTGTTCTGTTCCATTGGTCTATATATCTGTTTGGTACCAGTACCATGCTGTTTTGGTTATTACTGTAGCCTTGTAGTGTTGTTTGAAGTCAGGTGGCGCGATGCCTCCAGTTTTGTTTTTTTGCTTAGGATTGTCTTGGCAATGCAGGCTCTTTTTTGGTTCCATATGAAATTTAGAGTAGTTTTTCTAATTCTGTGAAGAAAGTCAATGGTAGCTTAATGGGAATAGCATTGAGTCTATATATTACTTTGGGCACTATGACCATTTTCACAATATTGATTCTTCCTATCCATGAGCATGGAATGTTTTTCCATTTGTTTGTGTCCTCTCTTATTTCCTTGTGCAGTGGTTTGTAGTTCTCCTTGAAGAGGTCCTTCACATCCTTTGCAAGTTGTATTCCTAGGTATCTTATTCTCTTTGTAGCAATTGTGAATGGGCGTTCACTCATGATTTGGCTCTCTGTTTGTCTATTATTGGTGTATAGGAATGCTTGTAATTTTTGCACATTGATTTTGTATCCTGAGATTTTGCTGAAGTTGCTTCTCAGCTTAAGGAAATTTTGGGCTGCGACGATGGGGTTTTCTAAATATACAATCATGTTATCTGCAAACAGAGACAATTTGATTTCCTCTTTTCCTATTTGAATACCATTTATTTCTTTCTCTTGTCTGATTGCCCTGGCCAGAACTTCCAGTACTATGTTGAGTAGGAGTGGTGAGAGAGGGCATCCTAGTATTGTGCCAGTTTTCAAAGGGAATGCTTCCAGCTTTTGCCCGTTCAGTATGATATTGGTTGTGGGTTTGTAATAAATAGCTCTTACTATTTTGAAATACGTTCCATCAGTACCTAGTTTACTGAGAGTTTTTAGCATGAAAGGGTGTTGATTTTATCAAAGGCCTTTTCTGTATCTATTGAGATAATCATGTGGTTTTTGTCATTGGTTCTGTTTATGTGATAGATTACACTTATTGATTTGTGTATGTTGAACCAGCCTTGCATCCCAGGGATGAAGCTGACTTGGTCATGGTCAATAAGCTTTCTGATGTGCTGCTGGATTCGGTTTGGCAGTGTTTTACTGAGGATTTTCGCATCAAATTTCATCAGGGATATTGACCTGAAATTTTCTTTTTTTGTTGTTTCTCTGCCAGGTTTTGGTATCAGGATGATGCTAGCCTCATAAAATGAGTTAGGGAGGAGTCCACCTTGTTCTATTGTTTGGAATAGTTTCAGAAGGAGTGATACTAGCTCCTCTTTGTACCTCTGGTAGAATTAGGCTGTGAATCTGTCTGATCCTGGGATTTTTTTAGTTGATAGGCTGTTAATTACTGGCTGAATTTCAGAACTTGTTATTTGTCTATTCATGGATTCAACTTCTTCCTGGTTTAGTCTTGGGAGGGTGTATGTGTCCAGGAATTTATCCATTTCTTCCAGATTTTCCAGTTTATTTGCACTGAGTTTTTTATAGTATTCTCTGATTGCAATTTGTATTTCTGTGAGATCAGTGATGATATCCCCTTTATCATGTTTTATTATGTCTATTTGATTCTTCTCTCTTTTTTTCGTTAGTCTGGCTAGCAGTCTATCTATTTTTTTAACTTTTTTAAAAAACCTGCTCCTGAATTCATTACTTTTTTGATGGGTATTTCATTTCTCTATCTCCTTCAGTTCTGCTCTGATCTTAGTTATTTCTTGCCTTCTGCTGGCTTTTGAATTTGTTTGCTCTTACTTCTCTACTTATTTTAATTGTGATGTTAGGCATCAATTTTAAATCTTTCCTGCTTTCTCCTGTGGGCATTTAGTGCTATGAATTTCCCTCTAACCACTGCTTTGGCTGTGTCCCAGAGATTCTACTGCGTTGTGTCTTTGTTCTCATTGGTCTCAAAGAACTTATTTATTTCTGCCTTCATTTCGTTATTTACCCAGTAGTCATTCAGGAGCAGGTTGTTCAGTTTCCATGTAATTGTGTGGTTTTGTGTGAGTTTCTTAATCCTAAGTTCTAATTTGATTGCATTGTGGTTTGAGAGACTGTTATAATTTCCATTCTTTTACATTTGCTGAAGAATGTTTTACTTCCAATTATGTGGTCAGTTTTAGAATAAGTGTGATGTGGTGCTGAGAAGAATATATATTCTGTTGATTTGGGGTGAAGAGTCCTGTAGATGTCTCTACTGGCAGCAAGAATTTCAAGCCAGTGGATCTTAGCTTGCTGGGCTCCCTGGGGGTGGGATCCGCTGAACTAGACCACTTGGTTCCCTGGCTTCAGCCCCTTTTCCAGGAGAGTGAATGGTTCTGTCTCACTGGCATTTCAGATGCCACTGGTGTTTGAAAAAATACCCCTTCAGCTAGCTCGGTTTCTGCCCGAATGACCACCCAGTTTTGTGCTTAAAACCTAAGGCCCTGGTAGTAGTAGGCACCCAAGAGAATCTCCTGGTCTGCAATTTGAGAAGACTATGGGAAAAGCATAGAATCTGGGCCAGAATGCACCATTTTTCACTGCACAGTCCCTCACAGCTTCCCTTGGCTCGGCGAGGGAGTATCCTGACCCCTTGCACTTCCTGGGTGAAGTGCTTAAGCTCGCCCTCCATGGCTGTACCCAGTGTCTAACCTGTCCCAGTGAGATGAGCCAGGTACCTCAGTTGGAAATGCAGAAATCCCCCACCTTCTGCATTGATCTTGCTGGGAGCTGCAGACCGAAGCTGTTCCTATTCATCCATCTTCACCCCAAGGGTGCAACCTGTTTTATTAGCAAGGTCTTTATGACGTATGTCTGTACCAACCTCCTATCTCATCCTATGACTTAGAATTCCTTAATTATCTGGGAGTGCAACCCAGTAGGTCTCAGCATCATTTTACGCAGCCCCTACACAACATGGAATTGCTCTGTTTCACACCTTTCTGATGTTTCCCCCCTCCCTTTTACAAGAGAATTTTTAATCCCAGGGGTTGCAGATGGACAAATATTCATCTTCTGTAACTTTTTCAGGCTGAATAGGGGCAATGACATTTCTCCATAACTCTTAGGGTCTCTTGTATTTGGGGTAGAGAGGAGCTCAGTCAGAAAGCATTTGTATGTCAAGAGCCATTTATGAATCTTGAGTTTTGACAAGAGGTAATATCTGGAAGTTTAATAAGTATTCAGTTAAAAAAATTCAGTAAACTTATCCTGCATTCCTACCCAAAGAGTATAACAGCAATATATTCCACAAAAGTAAAGCCAAAAATTATTTAAAGTAAACTACATTAGAAGATTTATCATAAACTGGGCAACTGTTGGAACCAAGCTGATATGGGGTCGCTAGCTGATATTAATAAGCTTAGAATTAGAATATTGATTTAGATTTTTATATTACCCATCCCTCTTGTTTTTTCTGAGCAGCAGTTAGACATTACTGGTTGGTTTACAGGAAAAGTCAGGGTTAGCTTAAATTGTAGAAACAAACTTAAAAACGACAGATGAGACTAGAATTTAATAACAAGTGTACCATAGTTCTTGAAACATAATTTTTCTTTTTTCAGTTTCCCATTTTTACTAAAGATAAATCATGGCAAGACTGATTTGCTTTATTGTACCTGGCCAGATTATTTGTATAAGGTGCAGCAAGAACAATTATGTTTTACGTAAGCTTTTTTAAATTGGCTTTGATAGAACTTTGTTCTGTAGAAGGAATCTTAGATAAGACTTTTGTAGAACCAAGCTCTGCCATGGGTTTGTACCCTTAAATACCTATGAGTTGAGTAAATTTCTCTCCTCTTGGGGTTTCAAGATAACTTGGCACTCCTGGGCCTGTGAGAAAGTGACATTCTTTACTTACCACAGGTCAGAAACCCTGTACAGTGACTGTGTAGGCAAGGTATGAGCTGAGTTTCCCAAGGGGATTTATTGGCTTTACAAGTCAAAAACGATTTCTTAAAGGAAAGCATGCCATTCCAGTCAAATAACCAGTTTTTCCAATTGTGTCCTGTTACAGAAGAAAACAGATTCTTTTCGCACTTATGCAAATAACTATACTGCCGTAGTTAAGAATACTCACAAATAGTTTTCAAATTCTGGAGAAATTAGGTACAGAGAAACAAATGTGCTCCAAATTTTGTTTACAGAACTATATTTTACTAAATTGTTAAAAGCTGTAAATAGCTCAAAATCAAAGTTTCTTTGACTCTAAAAAACAAAACAAAAGATTAGCAATGTTTTAAGCAAAAAAAGTTTAAAAAGTTTACTTTACTTTTTTATTGGTTCAATTGATTTTGATACTTTCTGTTTGATATTAATGAACATTTCAGCTTTTTATGAGAGTTGTGAAAATGTTTTCTGTATTTTAAAGCCACAATTTCCAAAGTTATTAGAAACCTGCCCTCAAGAATGTCTAATAGGCAGAGTGCGGTGGCTCATGCCTGTAATCCCAGCACTTTGGGAGGCCGAGGTGGGTGGATCACCTGAGGTCAGGAGTTTGAGACCAGCCTGGCCAACATGGTGAAACTCCGTCTCTACTAAAAATACAAAAAATTAGCTGGGCGTGGTGGTGGGTGCCTGTAATCCCAGCTACTTGGGAGGCTGAGGCAGGAGAATCACTTGAACCTGGGAGGTGGAGTTTGCAGTGAGCCAAGATCGTGCCATTGCACTCCAGCCTGGGTGACAAGACCAACACTCCATCTCAAAAAAAAATGTCTAATAGAGTTCTACAGTTGATTATATACCACCTTTTAAAGAGAATTAAAACAAGAAAACAATTGTTTGTGGATGAGGAATATTTTAGGGCAGCCACAGTTAAAAACACAATTGACAAAAAATATTGGTTAACTTTGTGCCATACATGATTTTATGTAATAATTATAATTATTATAACTTACACTAAGTCATATTAGAATTACAGGAGTTTCCCATAATTTTGGAACATAAACCGATAACATTTACACAAATATAGCCCAAAGAAAACCAAACACCATTTCATATTTGACAATGCTTCCTGTATGATTTTTACACCAAATAAGCCAAATGTTACTGTTGCATTATTTCATTATTGATGTCAAACTCAATTTTAAATAAAACCTTATAGACAAATATATTTACCTTTAATCAGTTTGAACATAAGGTAAAATTTTTATAAGGTTTTTACAACCCTTTACAAATTTGTGTTAAAGTGCAGATTACACACAGGTTTTTGCTTTAAGAAAATCCTGTTTCATTTTTATTCCAATGTTCACTTCACAGAAAAAATGAATACCCCTTTAACTTTAGCCAATATTCTGTATTTACACACAGAATTTCTTTTACAAATTTTTTTTCACAAACCTTCCACAACTTGCTTAAACCTTTAGCTTTGTCCTAATTTAAAACAATCCTTTAGCCCTTTAGGCAAAAAAACCCACATTTCCATGCCTTTTTATAATCTTCTAACAAAAACACATTTTACTTTCCTTACACACTTTGACTGTAAAATTATTTGTTTTTTTTTTTGTAGCCTTAAACACATGTTACACTGTTAAGTTTTAGCAACTTTTGGTGGAAACATTGGTAAGTTTGCGATTTTAATTATGTACTAGGTGTGGAGCTTAGGACTCAGACAGAAGTGCAGATAAGGTATGACTCTTCTTAGCATCTAACTCCATGTGTTCCAGGCCTTACCTAGCTGTAAAGAAAGAAAGTTGTACAGTTATGAGTCATAGTGGCATTTTATGAAGCATTAAGGAAGCCTAATCACCTTTAAATTGTACAACATTTCTTGCATAACTTATTTTTTATAAATTCTTTTATGACATACACAGACCATCTACAACATGCTAAGATTTTTGACTTGTCCTAAACATTTATTTTTTTTTAACAACCAGTTATTTTACTTTAGGACAAGGGTGTACCATGAGAGATCCTTTCTTATATAAAATACCTTTTCTTTATAACCTTCTTTGCATAGCTAGGGGGCATGGCTAATTCCACATGTCCCCAGGCTTTATTTGGAATTTAATGCTCCAAAATAGGTAAATTGAATAATTTTTAAAAGTCAAAGATACAGTTTATGACCTTAAAGCATTTAGCAAACCTAATATCTGACCTGCATAATTTAGACCAAATGTTTACATTTTTGAAGATATTTTTATTTTGCCAATAATTTTTAAGACTGTCTTTATTTTCAAAATATTACTTAACTCACATGAACTAAATAAAAGGCATTACTTTTTTTACTTTTTTGACAAAATATTTTATTTAAGCACTTATTATTCTTAAACCAATTTATCAAAGCTCTCTTGTATATAAACATTACATAGACAACACATATAAATACACAGACAGACAGAAAGTAAAGGATTCATTCCCTAAGCCAGGAATTAGGCCCTAAACCTGGGCTGCTATTGTGAAAAGAGAAAGCATAGCCACGTGATTACAAGGTCAAGCTCCCAAAGACATGACTGACCAGGTTCCTGGGCCATCTTGAAAAGTGGGCTTGGGCAGAGACACAACCAAAAAAGAGAATTTTAGACCAATATCCTTGATGAATATTGATGCAAAAATCCTCAATAAAATACTGGCAAACCGAATCCAGCAGCACATCAAAAAGCTTATCCACCATGATCAAGTGAGCTTCATCCCTGGGATGCAAGGCTGGTTCAATATATGCAAATCAATAAATGTAATCCAGCATATAAACAGAACCAAAGACAAAAACCACATGATTATCTCAATAGATGCAGAAGAGGCCTTTGACAAAATTCCACAACGCTTCATGCTAAAAACTCTCAATAAATTAGGTATTGATGGGACGTATCTCAAAATAATAAGAGCTATCTATGACAAACCCACAGCCAATGTCATACTGAATGGGCAAAAACTGGAAGCATTCCCTTTGAAAACTAGCACAAGACAGGGATGCCCTCTCTCACCACTCCTATTCAACATAGTGTTGGAAGTTCTGGCCAGGGCGACTAGGCAGGAGAAGGAAATAAAGGGTATTCAATTAGGAAAAGAGGAAGTCAAATAGTCCCTGTTTGCAGATGACATGATTGTATATCTAGAAAACCCCATTGTCTCAGCCCAAAATCTCCTTAAGCTGATAAGCAACTTCAGCAAAGTCTCAGGATACAAAATCAATGTACAAAAATCACAAGCATTCTTACACACCAATAACACACAAACAGAGAGCCAAATCATGAGTGAACTCCCATTCACAATTGCTTCAAAGAGAATAAAATACCTAGGAATCCAACTTACAAGGGATGTGAAGGACCTCTTCAAGGAGAATTACAAACCACTGCTCAATGAAATAAAAGAGGATACAAAGAAATGGAAGAACATTCCATGCTCATGGGTAGGAAGAATCAATATCGTGAAAATGGCCATACTGCCCAAGGTAATTTATAGATTCAATGTCATCCCCATCAAGCTACCAATGACTTTCTTCACAGAATTGGAAAAAACTACTTTAAAGTTCATATGGAACCAAAAAAGAGCCCGCATCACCAAGTCAATCCTAAGCCAAAAGAACAAAGCTGGAGGCATCATGCTACCTGACTTCAAACTATACTACAAGGCTATAGTAAACAAAACAGCATGGTACTGGTACCAAAACAGAGATATAGACCAATGGAACAGAACAGACCCCACAGAAATAATGCCACATATCTACAACTATCTGATCTTTGACAAACCTGAGAAAAACAAGCAATGGGGAAAGGATTCCCTATTTAATAAATGGTGCTGGGAAAACTGGCTAGCCATATGGAGAAAGCTGAAACTGGATCCCTTCCTTACATCTTATACAAAAATTAATTCAAGATAGATTAAAGACTTAAACATTAGACCTAAAACCATAAAAACCCTAGAAGAAAACCTAGGCATTACCCTTCAGGACATAGGCTTGGGCAAGGACTTCATGTCTAAAACACCAAAAGCAATGGCAACAAAAGCCAAAATTGACAAATGGGATCTAATTAAACTAAAGAGCTTCTGCACAGCAAAAGAAACTACCATCAGAGTGAACAGACAACCTACAAAATGGGAGAAAATTTTCACAACCTACTCATCTGACAAAGGGCTAATATCCAGAATCTACAATGAACTCAAACAAATTTACAAGAAAAAAACAAACAACTCCATCAAAAAGTGGGCAAAGGACATGAACAGACACTTCTCAAAAGAAGACATTTATGCAGCCAAAAGACACATAAAAAAATGCTCATCATCACTGGCCGTCAGAGAAATGCAAATCAAAACCACAATGAGATATCATCTCACACCATTTAGAATGGCAATCATTAAAAAGTCAGGAAACAACAGGTGCTGGAGAGGATGTGGAGAAATAGGAACACTTTTACACTGTTGATGGGACTCTAAACTAGTTCAACCATTGTGGAAGTCAGTGTGGCGATTCCTCAGGGATCTAGAACTAGAAAGACCATTTGACCCAGCCATCCCATTACTGGGTATATACCCAAAGGACTATAAATCATGCTGCTATAAAGACACATGCACACGTATGTTTATTGCGGCACTATTCACAATAACAAAGACTTAGAACCAACCCAAATGTCCAATAATGATAGACTGGATTCAGAAAATGTGGCACATATACACCATGGAATACTATGCAGCCATAAAAAATGATGAGTTCATGTCCTTTGTAGGGACATGGATGAAATTGGAAATCATCATTCTCAGTAAACTATCACAAGAACAAAAAGCCAAACACCACATATTCTCACTCATAGGTGGGAACTGAACAATGAGAACATATGGACACAGGAAGGGGAACATCACACTCTGGGGACTGTTCTGGGGTGGGGGGGAGGGGAGGGATAGCATTAGGAGATATACCTAATGCTAAATGACGAGTTACTGGGTGCAGCACACCAGCATGGCACATGTATACATATGTAACTAACCTGCACATTGTGCACATGTACCCTAAAACTTAAAGTATAATAATAATAAAATAAAAAAAAAGAAAAGTGGGTTTATGGGATCCCAGTCACACATTCTATTCTAAGGTACCCCTCATTATGACAGAACAATACAGAAATGTACACAAAGCACACCAGATTCACTGCAGCTTAAGATTAGCTCCAAAAGTTCTCTTTTCCATTAAGCAAAAGCTTTACAGAGGAGATAAACAGTGATTTTGCCATTCATTCAACCAATTTGCACAGAGAGAGGGATAGAGTGGGGCCAGAAGTCTGACTAGTAAGAAATTCTTACCCTTTTGCCAGCATGACAGACTTCTGGATTTCCTTTCCCTGAGTGGCCCTGGTGACCTGGCTTGCTGCACCATAGCCCTGGGGGCCAAGCCGCAACACAAAGTAAAATTATCTTTTTCCATCTGGCCAGAGCAAAATACTTGTGAAAAAACATAGACATTAGCCACTCTGCTTAGTACCTAATATTAATCTGGCAAAGCTCAAACTTGCCCCCAGTTGGGCCCCATAATTGTTAAGCCAATCTCTGACCAGGAGTTTCAACTTGTGCTCTCTGGACAAGATGGTCACCCTGAGTAATAGAAAAGATAGGAAAGAGAAAGGAGAAAGAAACGCGTAGCCTGTGGCAGGGTGGGGAAGGTGAAAAGCTCAGGGAAGCCAGAGAAAGACGCACCCATTGCAGTGACACCAAATCCAAAGTTTAGGGAGCTGCTTGTTGGTCATGAAGGGATTATTTCCAACAGTCCCATCGGTTCTCAAGTTTCCCCTTTTCGTGAGAAAAAAGCTCCCCATGTCCCACCATCCTGTACATGCCTAATCCTATTACCCACAGCTGTTAGCAAAGAGTGCAAGGCAGATTATTCCAAAGAGAATGGCTGTTAATATCCCTTAGTGCCAAACCCGTTCTTAGACAAAAGAAAATTTACTGAGAGGGACCTCTATCCTAGCTGAATCTTAGGAGGGACTCTAGCCCTTCTAAGTTAGCCCTCTAACCTAAGGTCAGTCAAGCATCCTTGCTTTTTATTAAGAGGGGTCTCTGTCTTAGTAGAGACTCTAACTCCCTTAAGTTGGGTTTATAAGCCAATCCCATTTTTTACCTGGGTACCCCACCACTTACTCAAAGTCAGCCAATTAGTGCTTTGGGTTGGGGGGTTCCTTCAGTACTGCCTTTTCAGGGTTCACTAGGAAGATATTGCTGGACCCCGCCACTTACACAAAGTTAGTCTTTGAGTTGGGGGTTTTCACATTATAATCCCTTTATAGTCACCAAAAAGATGTCACAGGAAAGGGGCCCAGATCCAGACCCCAAGAGAGGGTTCTTGGATCTTGTGCAAGAAAAAAATCAGGGTGAGCTTATAAAGTAAAGTAAAAGCAAGTTTATTAAGAAAGTAAAGGAATAAAAGAATGGCTGCTCCACAGACAGAGCAGCCCTGAGGGCTGCTGATTGCCCATTTTTATGGTTATTTCTTGATGATATGCTAAACAAGGAGTGGATTATTCATTCCTCCCCTTTTTAGACCCCATAGGGTAACTTCCTGTTGTTGCCATAGCATTTGCAAACTGTCATGGTGCTAATGGGAGTGTAGCAGTGAGGGCGACCAGAGGTCACTCTTGTAGCCATCTTGGTTTTGATGGGTTTTCGCTGGCTTCTTTGCTGCAACCTGATTTATTATAGAGGTCTTTATGACCTGTATTTGTGCTGATCTCCTATTTCATCCTATGACTTAGAATGCCTTAACCATCTGGAAATGCAGCTCAGTAGGTCTCAGCATCATTTAACCCAACCCTTATTCAAGATGGAGTTGCTCTTGTTCACATGCCTCTAACACCCCTAGACCTAAAATAAAAGTAAAATTTAAAAATGGAAATATATTTGGGGTGGAATATTTTAATTTTCTTCAGTATCATGTGCCTAAGGTAACAGCACTTCTTCTTTACCACATCCCAATGCAAGTTTCCAAAATATAATCCAGCACTATGAACTTGGTTGAAAACATTTTTTCTGAGGCTCTTTGGGTATTGGTACTTTAAGTCTCTTATACTATAGAGGAAAATTACCAATTTAGGAAGTAAAATTTTTTGTGAAACCCTCTCTAAAACACCTTTCCTCTCGTCTGAAGAATTAGAAAATATATCAAAACTAAAACCAGTATGCCCTTCATTAGTACAATGAGGCTTTTCCCCTGTTTACAGAAGTCCAAGCATCAGGACAATGCTGTTTTTTTCAAGGCATAATTGCAAACTCAAATCTCAAATTTATGCCTTTTTACATCCTTTGCTATGATTAGAACATGCTGTGAACAATGAGTTACAGTGGCCTGATAATGGCTACTTTGCCTGAACAACGGTGATTTCTATAATCATGTTTAAAATGAAAAGGCAAACTTGCTTTTCCAGCTTTTTAAAAATCAATTACAAGACATTATTAAAAAAGCTAAAAACATTTTATCATCTATAATTTGAAAAAGAATGTTCTAAAATACCATAATACTTAGGTAAAGTTTTAGGCCTTATTCTCTACTGAGTAAACCATTGCCAATTCCTACTGGGTCTCTGCTATTTTTTGAATGGTGTCATTGTAACTCCTCCTGAACCTGTATGTTGGAGATTAAGATTGCCCTATCCAAAGCAGTTATTTCACTCCAAGTTTTATATAGTTAAGAATTATTTTATTTACTCTAAGTTTCTAGCTGATTATGACTTTTTCACTAGCAAACTATTCCATTCACATGTACAATATTAATAAAGATACAATTTTATTATTCTTTTGAGCTTCTCTATGGATAGTTTCCATCATTTTCCATCCACAATTACAGGGAAAAAAAGAGTGATTTATCATGTGGCATGACATTGTTGGTCAGCTGAAATTACCAAGTACATATTCCTAGTCGTGAGCACATGACTTAGTTTTATTAATTTTCCCTTAGCTTTTCTCTTCTAATAGAGATTACCAGCTTTTGCAATGTTTTAGTCAAGGATCATCGGTAATTAAATATGATTATTAAGTTTACTCCATTATCCCTCAAATGTTATCTCACACACTTTGTTCAGGTAAAATACAGTTTCTGAAACAGTTCACATTCTAAAAAAACATTTAAGTTATTAAAATGTTGGCTTAGATAAGAAAATTTCATAAGATCACATTTCAAACAGTTCTAAATATTCTAAATGAAAATACCCTATAGGAATAACTAATTAATACCTTTCTGAAATAAATCACATCTGTATTAGTCTGTTTTCACATTGCTTTAAAGAACTACCTAAGACTGAGTAGTTTATGAAAAAAGAGTGTAATTGACTCACAGTTCCACAGGCTTAACAAGAAGCATGACTGAGAGGCATCAGGAAACTTACAATCATGGTGGAAGAGAAGGGGAAGCAAGGACCTCCTTCACATGGCAGCAGAAAAGAAAAACAGTGAAGGGGAAAGTGCCACACACTTTCAAACAATCAGATGTCATGAGAACTCACTCAATATCATGAGAACAGCAAGGGGGATGTCACCTCCATGATTTAATCACCTCCTACCAGGCCCCTCCCCTCACATAAGATAATTACAACTTGACATGAGATTTGAATGGGGACACAGAGTCAAATCATATCATTCGGCCTCTGGCTCTACCTAAATCTCATGTCCTTTTCATATTTCAAAACCAATCATGCCTTCCCAACAGTCCCCCAAAGTCTTAACTCATTCCAGCATTAACCCAAAAATCCAAGTCCAAAGTCTCATCTGAGACAAGGCAAGTACCTTACACTTACGAGCCTGTAAAATGAAAAACAAGCTAGTTACTTCCAAGACACAATGGGGGCACCTGCATTGGGTAAATGCTTTTATTGCAAAAGGGAGAAATTGGCTAAAGCCAAGGGACTATACAGGTCCCATGCAAGTCTGAAACCCAGCAGGGCAGTCATTAAATCTTAAAGCTCTAAAATAATCCCTTTGATTCCATGTCTCACATTTATGGCATGCTGATACAAGGGGTGGGCTCCAGAGACCTCAGGAAGCTCCACCCCTATGGCTGTGTATGGTACAGACCTCACAGCTCATTTCATGGGCTGGCATTGAGTACTTGCAGCTTTTACAGGTACAGAGTGAAAGCTGTTGGTGGATCCACAATTCTGGGGTCTGGAAGATAGTGGCCTTTTTCTCACAGATTTACTAGGCAGTGCTCCAGTGGGGACTCTGTATGGGGGCTCCAACCTCACATTTCCCCCTCTGCACTGCCCTAGTAGAGATTCTCTATGAGGGCCCCACCCCTGCAGCAGTGTTCTTCCTGGACACCCACACATTTCCATACATCCTCTGAAATTTAGGTGGGGGCTCTCAAATCTTGCTCTTGTGTTCTGTGCACCTGTGGAACAACACCAACACCACATGGAAGCTGCCAAGACTTGGGGCTTGCACCTTCTGAAGGAATGACCCAAGCTGTACTTTGGCCCCTTTTAGCCATGGCTGGAAATGGAGCAGCTGGCATGCAGTGTGCCATGCTCTGAGACTGTACAAAGCAGTGGGGCCCTGGGCCTGGCCCATGAAACCATTTTTCCCCATTAGGCCTCCAGGTCTTATAGACCTGGAGGGACTGCCGCAAAGATATCTGAAATGCCCTAGAGGTATTTTCCCTATTGACTTCTATATTAACATTTGGCTCCTGGTTGCTTATGCAAATTTCTGCAGCTGGCTTGAATTTCTCCCCAGAAAATGGGTTTTTATTTTTCTACTGCATAGTCAGCCTGCAAATTTACCAAATTTGTATGCTCTGCTTCCCTTTTAACATAAGTTCCAATTTCAGACCATCTTTTTATTCACACAAATGAGCTTACACTACTAGAAAGAGCCAGTTATCATCTTGAATGCTTTGCTGGTTAGAAGTTTCTTCCATCGGATACCCTAAATTATCTCTCTCAAGTTTAAAGTTCCACAGATCTCTAGGGGAGGGGCAAAATTTTGCCAGTCTCTTTGCTAAAGCATAGCAAGAGTGAGCTTTACTCCAGTTCCCAATAAGGTCCTCATCTTCATCGGATACCACCTCAGCCTGGACTTCACTGTCCATAGCATCGGCATTTTGGTCACAACCATTTCACAAGTCAAAAGTTCCAAACTTTTCCATTCTTCCTGTCTTCTGCTTAGCCCTCCAAACTGTTCCAAACTCTGTCCATTACTCAGTTCCAAAGTCACGTCCACCTTTTCAGGTATCTTTATAGAAATGTCCCAGTTTCCTGGTGCTAGTTTTCTACATTAGTCCATTTTCACATTGCTATAATGAACCACCTGAGACTGGGTAGTTTATAAAGAAAATGGATTCAATTGACTCACAGTTCCACAGACTTAACAGAAAGCATGGTTTGGAGGCCTCAGGAAACTTACAATCATGATGGAAGAGGAAGGAGAAAGCAACAACCTTCTTTACATGGTGGCCAGAGAGAGAGAAATCAAAGGGGGAAGTGCCATACACTTTCAAACAACCAGATCTCATGAGAACAGAAAGGGGGAAGTCTGACCCCTTGATTCAGTAACCTCTCATGAGGCCCCTCCCCTGACATGTGGGGCTTACAGTTCTAGGTGAGATTTGGGTGAGGACACAGAGCAAAACCATATCAACATCTTATACTTCTATACCTTTATAACTAGTGAACAAGGGCACAGGACTCAGAACGTATGTACTGGATAAATATTTGTTGAACAAATGAATGAGGTCTCAAAAGTTAAACCGAGAAGTAATTCACAACGTTTGCAATACTCTGGAGCTCAGATAATCTAAGTTTGAGTCAGCTACTTTTTAGCTTCTAGGGGCCAAGGGAAGTTATGTAACCATTTTATCCTTAGTTACCTCTATTGTATACATAATATCTCAATTTACTTGACACATCTATTTGTGTCTGTAACAGACATCTTGATTCAACATGTTGAAAAATGAACTCTCATTCTTTCTCCTCAAACCTCTTTCTCTTGCAGCAAAAATGAAACCTTTGTATTTACTGATGATATTCCTCTTTCTTGAGAGATCTTATTGAAAGAAGGATCAAAGAAATAGAGAAGTATCTAGAGGTGGAATGGGGTCAAGAGAGAATATTTTCTAAGTTAGGCAAAATAGCATATTATTTGTATGCTGAGGGAAATGATACAGAAGAGAGGGAAATATTTAAAATGTGTGAGAAAGAGGTGAGACTTTGATTAATGTCCTGGGGGGATAAGGAGTTGTGGGAATTGCTGCACAAATAGATGAGCTGGCTTCAGCTGAGAGCACCAATACGTTGGCTTGCAATAATTAGGTAAAGGAGAATATTATGGGTGCGGGTACTAGTAAGGGTGTTGATGTGGTGGAGAAGATTGTAAAGTTCTCTTCAAATTGTTGCAGTTTTCTCAGTGAAATGAGAAACAAGATAATCTAATCTGCAGATTGCTTTGGTTAGTCTTAATATCTTAACAATACTGATTCTTCCAATCCATGAATACTAGGTGCCTTTCCATTTATTTGTGTCTTCAATTTCTTTCACCAAAGTTTGTAGTTTTCTCTAATATGTGTCTTTCATCTCCTTTCTTAAGTTTATTCTCAAGTATTTTATTATTTTATTCATATTTCAATGTATAATATTTCTTTATTTCCATTTCTGATTATTGTTGGTGTGAAGAAATGCAATTAACTTATGGGTGTTGATTTTGTATTCTGCAACTTTGTTGAATTTTATTATTAGTTCTAACAGTTCTTGTGGAATTTTAAGTATTTTCTTTTTTCTTTTCTCTTTTTTTTTTTTTTTTTTTTTTTGAGACAGAGTCTCGCTCTGTCGCCCAGGCTGGAGTGCAGTGGCGCAATCTTGGCTCACTGTAAGCTCCTCCTCCTGGGTTCACGCCATTCTCCTGCCTCAGCCTCCCGAGTAGCTGGGACTACAGGCGCCTGCCACCACGCCAGGCTAATTTTTTTGTATTTTTAGTAGAGATGGGGTTTCACCATGGTCTCGATCTCCTGACCTCATGATCAGCCCACCTCGGCCTCCCAAAGTGCTGGGATTACAGGCATGAGCCACTGTGCCCGGCCAAAGATTTTCTACATATAAGATTATGTCATCTAAAGAGAAAGAGGGTTTTATTTTTTCTTTGCACTTTGGATTTATTTTATTTTTTGATCTTGCTTGATATCTCTTGAGTTTCATGAATTTGGATGCCTATATCCTTCCCAAGATTTGGGAAGTTTTCAGACATTATTTCTTTAAATATCCTTTTCTTCTCCTTTTCTCTCTATTCTCTGACACTCCCATAAACCATGTTTGTTTACCTGATGGCATCCCATAAGTTTTCAAGTTAATTTACTCTTTCTTCTGCATACCTAAGTCTACTGTTGAAGTTGTCTGTTGAATTTTTTGGTTCTTTCATTGTATTTTCGTATTTTGATGTACGTGGAAAACTGCTTTTACTGCATCCCTTAAGTTCAGGCACATTGTGTTTTTATTTTCATTTGTCTCAAGATATTTGCTAGTTTCCCAGATTTCATCTTTGATCCATGGGTTATTTAAAAATATTTTAATGAGTGTCCACATATTTGTGATTTTTACAGTTTTCCTTCTGCTATGTATTTCTAGTTTCATTCCATTGTAATCAGAAAAGATGCTTTGTATTATTTCAATCATTTTGAATTTGTTAAGATTTGCTTTGTGGCTTAGCATATGGTCTAATCTGGTAAATGCTATCTGTGCACTGAGAAAAATGTCTATTTTGATGTTGTTGAATGGAAGGTTTTGCATATGCCTGTAGATCCAATTGGTCTATGTTGTGAGTTCAAGTCCTCTGTTTCTGTATTAATCTTTTGTCTGGTTGCTTTATCCATTGTTGAAAGTGAGAAATATAAATCACTTACTACTATTGTGGAGCTTTCTCAACCTTTAACTCTGTCAAAATTTGCTTCATATATTTTTAAACCCTGATGTTTGTTACATACATATATATATATACACTTTTTATCTCTCCTTGGCAAATTGGCCCTTTTATCAGTGTAAAATGTCCTTCTTTGTCTCTTATAACATTTTTTGACTTGGTATCATTTGTCTGATATTACATTGACACCCCTGCTGTCTTTTGGTTACTACTGTTATTGAATAAATTTTTCCATCTTTCACTTTCAACAGATATGTATTCTTAGATCTAAAGTGAATCTTTTTTTGACATTTAGTTTAATTCTACTTTTATATTCTTTTTGCAAAACTATGTATTTTCATTGGGGATTTTAATCCATTTACATTTAAATAATTGCTGATAGGAAAGAACTTACTATTACCATTTTTATTTTGTCCTATTTATGCCTTAAAGCTTTTTTGACCCTCATTTTTTCCATTGCTTCCTTACATGTGTCTAGTTGATTTTGTAGTGACATGTTTTGATACATTTCTCCTTTCCTTTTGTGTATATTCTATACTTTCTTTGTGCTTAACATGTAGATTATATACAGCATCCTAAAGACATAAAAATCTATTTTAGATTGATATTAACTTAACTTTAATAGCATACAAAAACTACTCCTTTGTATTTCTACCCCACCTTATATTATTGATGTAACAAGTGACATCTTTATATATTATGTACCCATTTGCATAGATTTATCATCATTTTCATGGATTTACCTTTTAAATCCAGTAAAAAATAAAAGTGGAATTATAAACCAAAAGTACAAAAATGCTGGGTTTTATATTTGACTATGTATTAGCCTTTACAGGGGACCTTCATATTTTACATGGCTTTGCATTATTGTCTAGCATTCTTTCATTTCAAATTGAAGGACTTCCTTTAGCACTACTCATAAGGCAGGTCTAGTAATAAGAAGTCTCTAAGATTTTGTTTATCTGAGAATTTCTTAATTTCTCCCTTGCTTTTGAAGATAAGTTTTGGCAGATGTAGAATTCTCAGTTGACAGTTATTTTCCTTCATAACTTTAAATATATCTTTCCACTGCCTTCTGGCCTCTAAGGTTTTTTGCTGAAAAATATGCTGATAATATTATTGAGGATACGTCATGTGTGTTGAATCACTTCTCTCTTGCTGCTTTCAAGAGTATCTCTTTGTCTTTGTCTTTCAACACTTTGATTATAATATATCTCAGTGTGGGTCACTTTTGGTTTATCCCAACTGAATTTCTTGAGTTTCTTGGATTTGTGGATCTGTGTCTTTCCTCAAATTTAGAAAGTTTTTGGCTATTATTTCTTTAAATTTTTTTTTTTTTTTGCTCCTTCTCTTTCTTTCTTCTCTCTTTTATACTCCTATATGTGTATGATGGTTCACTTAATGGTGTCCCATTAGTCCATTAGTCTCTGTTTATTCTCCTTTATTTTTTCCTTTTTTCTCTTCTCACTCAGTAATTTCAAATATCCTGTATCCCAGCTATTTTATTCTTCTTCCTGTTAATGTCTGTGTTTGCATGCCTCTAGTAAATTTCACAATTCAGATATATTTTTCAGCTCCAGAATTTCTAGGGTTTTTTTCTTGTTTTTATAGTCTCTATTTTTTTTGTTGAAGTTTCATTTTGTTTATATATAGTTACTCTAATTTCCTTTACTTCATCGTCCATGTTTTTTAGCCCTTTGAATACATTTAAGGAAGTTATTTAAAATTATTTGTCCAGTATGTCCAATGCTTGTGTTTCTTCAGGAATTGTTTCTGACACTTCACTTAACTCCTTTGAATAGTCCACATATTCCTATTTATTTTATGCCATGTGGTATTTTGTCATTCCTAAAAATTGAGCATTAGAAAATACAGCCACCTCTCCTAGTCTTTGCAGACTGACTGCACTTGGTAATGCCTTTCCTAATTATCAAAGCATGTTCTGAGACTTAAGATCAGCTGGAGTGAAGGCTTAAGGTCTCCTTACGTCTCCTCTGAGCATGTCTTGCCTGGAACTCTGTGTGTTCTTTTTTCAATTTTCCTATAAACACAGTTGATGTTAAAAGTCTTAATTTTGCAGTTTCTTACTCCAGCTTCTTATTGGGTCCTTGCATATTATTTTGTATTCCTGCAACTGTAATATTTTCCCCCAATCATCTGTGGGTCTGTAGTCTGCTTGCTGCCTTCATGAGCTATGCCCACCCTGCCTGCAGCTTTTCCACTTATTTTCTGTCTGAGCTCTAAGTCAAGCAAAACATGCAGAAGTCCGTAAGGCATCCCTACACTTATTAGAATGCTACAGATAAAGTCTCCTCCATTCTTTCATATTTGAGGAAGGAAGCTGTTTCCTTTAAGTTGTGTCAGATTGTGCCATGCAGGGGCTGGGGAAGGACAAGTAAAAACACTGTGGAATTTCCTATAACTTGCATGTGGCTTCTTTTTTTAATTAGGTGATCACTTGGTTGCTGTAGACCTTTGACTCTTTTCCAGAACTCCTATAAAGTTATTTTGTCTAATCTCTAGGGTTTTGTTTGTTTAGGCTTGTTTTTTTAATGTTTTTATAGGGAAAATGAGGACCTGAAACCCCCTGGTACACCACCTTGCTGACATCACCTTCTGAGATTTACTTTAAAAAATTTTTTTTAATTTTTTCATTCTATTCCTAGTCTTGCACAGGAAGGTTGCACCATGCACTCTTGGTAAAACGTTTCACTTTTTAAATGACCTTCAGGATATTCAGTCGGTTCTTCTTCAGTAACCAGTTCAATGAAAGAGTATTTCTTCAGATCATTTATTAGGCCTTTAATGGTTATTTGGCCAAAGAAGAAAGAGCAGGCTTATACCATGAGTCAGACAAAGCATCTAACTTATGGGAAGTCTATATGCAGAATCATTCAACATGTCCACAAAAAGTACATCATAGGTTTGCTTACATTAATCAAATCCGGATATGTCTTAAGGTTAAGATTGTATCATCAGCCTCATTGACTACAGTAATTCCAGTTTACCTTTACCACCTGAGAAGCTATGAAACAGAAACATCATTTAGTGTTGTCAAAGTTTTAATTACTTAATAAACAAAACTGATTATTCGATCTGTATCCATCAACTTTTTTTTCTGTTTAGCAGAGGGACTTTTTGATCTAGTGAAATTTATAGAGATCCAGAAAGTTCTAGGAAAGCAAAATCTGGCAGAAAAAAAAATGGATGCACTGTCTTTATCATACCAGAACAGCCAGTTCTAGGTTATTGTTAAGCATGTGACCTTCCTAACACATGTTCCCAGGATGAGCAACGGCTTTGTTAATGTTCTATTAACCTGTTAATTCATTCACAGCACAGACTTCCAATTAGTAGTAGACTGTTAAAGTAGATGAGTAGAGTCTTTAAATATAGCATACTTGGTTATATTTTGCCAAATACTTTCCCCATTTTAAATGCACCACGATTGGTAGATGGGCAGCAATTACCATAGAATATGGATACTTTGAGTCTTATTGCTCTGCCCGAGCTGCTTCCACAGGAGCGCTCAACTATATTTTGACCACAAAACTACTTTTTTAAAAATGTCTTTTACATTTTTAGAAAATCTCTGTACTTGCCTTACCCTCACCTCCCACCACCCCTAGTATTATATATATGCAATACACACACACACGCACACACACAGGTCACTTATTTAGTGCTTGTTCAGTAGTGTAATTTTAAAATCTCTTTTACATTTTTAAAAAATCTCTGTACTTGCCTTACCCTCACCTCCCACCACCCCTAGTATTATATAAATACAATGTACACACACACACTAGTCACTTGCTTGTTCAGTAGTGTAATTACTTCTCTGAAAGTAAAGCCCTTTTCTTTACTCCTGGAAATATGCCAGGAAAATCACATGCTTTTGATAACAAATATTTCAGAAGCTGCCCTACTTTTGTAATATAACAGCATTTAGTCTGTTAAGCCAAGTTGCTGCTTGGCACCTCTTGGCACTGTTCTGCATCCCAAAAATATATGTCTGGCAATAAAAAATAATTGGAAGACAATATAAGTCTTTCTGGATGTCCCTCAAAGAACAGAAAAAAGAGGTTTATATTGTTAAGGCTTACCAAAACCTCAAACTTCTTTTTTGGACATTTCACTTCAAATAACTTTCCCATAGGTGGAGTGCTAAAAAATGTCTCTTCTTCTTCTCAAAACTTCCCATAAATCTCCCTCAGAACCCAAGTTGCCTAGTTTTCCTCTCACCTCATCTCACCCTTACTATGACTTGGCTCATTACTACACAGATCAACTTAGCATCTTTCAATACTTCAAACTCATTTTTCATGTTATGTACAACAAATGAAAACCTGATTTGACCCAGATAGCTATGTCTTCTATTCTTTTTGCAACACATAAAATTATCTCAGCTCCTTTTTATAAAAGGAAAGATCTTCCTCTTTCTTCTCTTTATGCTTACCTGTTCTTTAAATATTATGTCATTGATTTAAGTTAACTTACAATTCAATTTTTTTAATTTTTTACTTTAAGTAGAAAAACTTGCAAAAGTTTCAGACAATCATATGCAAGTGTCTTCCCAATAATGTCTTCTTTAAGAAAATGGTACAAAGATTTGGAAAAGATTTCTGGTGCCTCCACTTTTAAATGTTATTGCAAATTGCCATGTATGTTTTAGTCTGCATAGTTATTTACTGATGTCATAAGAATTTGAGTTAATTAGTCCATGCACTGGAAACTAATTAGAAAATAAATAAAATGTATTTAAATAACTTCTAATGAATTATTATTTAACTCTAAATAATGTTTATATGTTATTCATCCTTTCACAATACTTCAAAATTTACTCCCCACTTCTAATTGTTTTTGCTAATCATCTGTCTCAAACTTATCTTCTAACCCCAATCCTCAATGTTTTCTTACAAAATAGTTTAATTATTTAAAAGAAAACAATTTTTAAAGCTTGTATTTACCTCAAGGTACAAGTCAAAGCCAGGAAAAGCCTAAAAGACATTTTTTTTTTCTGAGTCTGGAAAACACTCCCTGAGCCCCTTAGGAACAGAGGGTGGTTCTGAGTTCACTCACTTCTCTCCCTGCTCCAAAAGAGATCTGACAGGTGTGAAGATCTTGGTAAGTCTGTAATCAAGCACAATTAACCAATAGTTTCCCCTGATGGGTTGTAGTATCTCCTCCCCAGTTATTCCATGAATTTTTTTGAATGAATAGCTGACCTAGAGACTAGGATAAACTCCCAAGAGCAGTGGCCATCAATTACTGAGCTCCATACCCAGAAGTAACTAGATAATAATTTAATGTTCTACCTCCAATTAAAGTAGTATGTATCTTCTTAAATATTTCCAGCAGATTTTTAATTTATCCATACTTATTATACATCTTGCACTGTGCTAGGCACTATACAATACATAGACTCTCGGTATTACTTATCATAGTGACTAACACTTATGGTCAAAAAATTTATCTAATCTTTAGATATTTAACCTGTATTTTTCTGTTTCTGGTATTAAAAACACTAAGCCATTCTCATTTATATGGTACAATGGTTGAACGAATTAAATACCTTCCACAGTGTGAACATTTAACTCCCTTGGTTAACCTTCTAATTTGAAAAAGAAGATTGAGGGTCATAGCTGAACTAGCTTTTGAATTTACCACTAATTTACACAGTCAACTTAGAGATGTTGATTTACCCATTCCCTCAGATCTTCATTGACATTAACGAGGACTTCAATAGATTAACATTCTGGATTAAATAGTGGGTGTTATTTTATTAGTAGACTTTTGCTTTAATAATGCTGCATAACAAATAACCCCCAAATCTCGGTGACTCACAACAAAAAATATATATTTATTTTTTATTCACAAGGCTGTGGTTCAGCTAAGGTGACTCTGTTCAGGCTATAGGTTGGTTTCTGGTCTCCTCCATATTTATTTCTGTTTCAAGACTCATACTGAAGGAGCTATCCCTTATTTGGGATATGACATTTTTATGGAAGATGATAGGAGCACAAGTGGCCAACCTATACTACATATTTAAGGCTTCTGCTCAGATTTCCACTCACTTTCCTTTCACCAATGGAAATCACTAGGGCCAAACCCAACATCAATAAAGCAGAGAAATATACACTTGTCCTACAAAGAGAAAGGAGAAGAAATATTTGCTGAGTCACAAAATGTATCACACTGGGCAACCCGACTTCAAATTTTTTTTTTGCAAGTATGCTTTCTTTTTGATTATGAGATATTTATTTTTATTTTATATATATATATATATTACTTTTTTTCGAGACCGAGTCTTGCTTAGTCACCCAGGCTGGAGTGCAGTGGCACGATCTCAGCTCACCGCAAGCTCTGTCTCCTGGGTTTAAGCAATTCTCCTGCTTCAGCCTCCCAAGTAACTGGGACTACAGGCACATGCCACCATGCCTGGCTATTTTTTGTATTTTTAGTAGAGACGGGGTTTCACCATGTTGGCCAGGCTGGTCTCAAACTCCTGGCCTCAAGTGAGCCACCCGCCTTGGCCTCCCAAAGTGCTGGTATTACAGGCATGAGCCACCACGCCTGGCTGATTATGAGATATTTCTACATCATGTCTGGATATACCACTGCAATGAATGCTCTTTATAACTATAGGATATTATTCTTTTCTTTTTCTTCTTTTTTCTTTTTCTTTTTTTTTTTTGAGGCGGAGTCTTGCTCTGTCGCCCAGGCTGGAGTCTAGTGGTGCGATCTCTGCTTACTGCAAGCTCCGCCTCCCGGGTTCATGCCATTTTCCTGCCTCAGCCTCCCGAGTAGCTGGGACTACAGGCACCCGCCACCACGCCCGGCTAATTTTTTTTTGTATTTTTAGTAGAGACGGGGTTTCACCACGTTAGCCAGGATGGTCTTGATCTCTTGACCTCGTGATCCACCTGCCTCGGCCTCCCAAAGTGCTGGGATTACAGGCGTGAGCTACTGCACCTGGCAGGATATTATACTCTTAAATAAAGTGACAATATACATTGATTTCTAAATCCCAGAACATTCTTTGTAAACACTATTACCTAATTATAAGCCGATGATTAAAAATTATATGAACCACCATTAAACATTTACAGCAATTGATATTCAGCTCAGTGGCCATTACTAGTTTGTTTAACCTTGTTTCATAGAATATATTAATTAATTTATGACTGTCAATTTGTATTGAATATACAAAATTTGATTCATCATAATTCACCTTAGTCACAAAGTGAAATGCGTGTGTATATATTACCTTCATTATAGAAGCCCATAAATATTTATTAGTTTATTTATTTTCTGTAACATCAACTTTAATAAATAGTTTTTTAACCACTTGAGGATAAGAAGACACTTTTTTCAATGTCATATAATCAATACAATAAAATTTCTCAATTGATTCTTAGTAGTATGTGTGTGCATGCATATATATAGAGAGAGAGAGAGACACAAACATACATATTTAAGTACATACACATAGATATTTAAGTAACTTGCCAAGAAACTAGGCCTCTCTCGCTCTCTCTACATCTCTCTGTCTCTCCCTCTCTCTCTCTCTTTTTCTGTTCTCATTTTATCTGTGAAAATTAACCATGTGAAAGGCGGCTCCAGATTTGGTTCTAAAGTTCTGTTTTGTAAACTCATAGACAGCAATTTTTCTATTGCCACTTCTGGACATTTTGTGAAAAATTAAGGGTTAGGCATTTGCACTTGGGAAAGCATGAGAACATTTACTCTCAAACTTATAACTAATTTTTTCATTTGTTGAATGAAGCCATTTCTGGATTGCTTTTCCCTAAATGTTAAAATCTGTCTTTACCTGTCCCTTAGGTCTACTACTGACAGAAATCAAAATAGAAGGGGATTCTCAATTTTGATGGTAAAATCTACACAAATATTTTCTATGCTGTTCTACAAGTTACTTTTTTTTTTACTATCATTATGATGTTGAGAACATCCTTCCATAACAATTCATACAGATTCACTATTTTTTCTAACTGTTGCATATTTTTATAAAAATTATTTTAAAAAGTCATCGTGTGTATATATTTAAAGAAGTTTGTAAGGTTGCACACCAAATTATTAATATTAGGGAAGAGAGAACATTATTTGCTATTTACATTTTATACTTCTATATTATTTGAATGTTTTTGTATAAATATTTTACCATTTGCCGATTACCTTTATAATTTTAAAATTAAAATAAAATAATAAAAGAAACGAAGATAGCCTGTAAGTAAAAATAAATTGAGTAAGATGATACAGTTGTCTACCCCAGCGTGTTTCATGAAGTCTAATAATGAGATAAATCAATTATGTATTTTTTTATTTTTCTAAGAAGGAAATTAATGCTGCAAATAAACAGAGTCACAAAGCACGGCTGGATGAACATTGATGGACGGACTTGCCTTTTTTATCTGTACTGTCTTTTGGAGTCATGTCTAGTGTAGGAGAGTCGGGGAATGCCTCTTACCTGCACAAAGTCAATAATGACTGAAATGTGTTCAAACAAAAAAATGTGAAACTATAATAATTTCTTGTCACATAATGGGCAACCAATATTTCTTTTTTGAATCCAAGAATACAATAAAAAATCACCACCACCAAGTTACTAAATAATGTTAGGTTTTTATTACAATTTGGGGAAAATACTTCATTTTTACAACATTTGTTTTGTTAGTATCATCTCATAAGAATACCTATTTTCCGTTTTCCTGTTGAGGACTTCATTTTTTTGTCATTGTTATATCTGCACAGGGAAACATTCTCAATTTATCATACTTTGACATATAAACACACTCATTAATTTTGCTCACTGACCTAAAATCAATATTCATAATAAAAGATGCAAGAATTTGATTGAGTTTTTGTGATGGTTAATACCAAGTGTCAACTTGACTGGATTGAAGGATACAAAGTATTGATCCTGGGTGTGTCTGTGAGGGTGTTGCCAAAGGAGATTAACATTTGAGTCAGTGGGCTGGGAAAGGCGGACCCACCCTTAATCTGGGTGGGCACAATCTAATTAGCTGCCAGTGTGGCTAGAATATAAGCAGGCAGAAAACTGTGAAAAGAGAGACTCGCCTAGCCTCCCAGCCTACATCTTTCTCCTGTGCTGAATGCTTCTTGCCCCTCGAACACTGGACTCCAAGTTCTTCAGTTCTGGAACTCAGACTAGCTCTCCTTGCTCCTCAGTCTGCAGACAGCCTACTGTGGGACCCTGTGGTCATGTGAGTTCATACTTAATAAACTCTCCTTTATGTGTATATGTATTCCATTAGTTCTGTCCCTCTAGAGAACACTGACTGATACAGTTATATAAGCACACCTTTTTTTAAAAGACATCCAATCCAATTCCTTCCTTAATAAAATAGTCACTTAACATAGAGATAGTCTCAGTGTTTCTAAAGGTTATATGCAAGAATATATGTAATTTTTAAGAATAGATAAATTCTGCTTCTGACATGAACTTAAGTCATTGAACAGCACTAAGCATATAATTAATTGAATGTTAGATTATACTAATCTGAAAAGTCAGAATTAATGTCATAGACAAAGGCTCCAACTATGAATAGAAATTAATTGTTCTAGAGAAAAAAAGAATTTGTCCCAATATTTCCCAATTGAGCTTTGTCTATAATTTAATGTTCAAAATCAATATGAACTTTTTCTAGCAGTCTGAGGACCCAAGGGGACAGGTGTCTATGGGGAAAGGAGGGGAATGTCTGGTTAAAAAAATGTAGGAAGCTACATAATACTTCATTGGGTATATGTATCACATTTTCTTTATCCAACCATCTGTTGATGCACACATAGGAGTACTATGCAGCCATTAAAAAAGAATGAGATCTTGTTGTTTGCAACAATATGGTAGGTCATTATGTTAAGTGAAATAAGTCTGTCACAGAAAGAAAAACTTCACATGCTATTACTTATTTGAGGGAGCTAAAAATCTAAACAATTAAACCCATGGAGATAGAGAGCAGAAGGATGGTTACCAGAGGACGGGAAAGGTAGTGGGAGGAGAAAGGGGATGATTAATGGGTATAAAATAAAAATAGTGAAAAAAATAAGTTTTGAATATTTGATAGCACAACAGGGTGACTATAGTCAATAATAATTTAATCGTACTTTGAAAATAACCAAAATAGTAGAATTGGAGTGCTTGAAACACAAAGGATAAATGCTCCAGGCGATGAATACCCCATTTTGCATGATGTGATTATTATGTATTACATGTCTGTATTAGGGTATCTCGTGTACTACATTAATATATACACCTAGTATGTACCCAAAAAATTAAAAATAAAAAAATATCGTGTAGGACACTAAGGCATCTTAACAGGTTAGATGTAGAAAGTGATTCTATCTATTCCATAAATACCTTTTCACTTTCTCTTTTACTACTAAAAGTAGTGGATCATGGAAGCCACTTGCAGAAAAAAAGAAAGATTCTTTATTCTGGATCTCCCACATTAACACTCTGCATTAGGAGACTGTCCTTTCTGCTCTCTATGCCCAAATTATCTTCCTTTTATATCAACAGCCAGAGATTAATGACCATTTACTTGCTATTAATGATGCATATATTTTGCCAGACATAGGGATGCAAAGGTTTGGAAGAACAGACATAGTCCTTGCTTTCATGGCATAGACATAGACATTGTAGCCAGTGAAACAAACATTAATTGTTTTACATTACACATATAAATGTGTGTAATTACAAACTGAGGTAAGTTGTTTAAAGGAAAGTTACTCAGTTATATAAAAATATATAACAAGAAACCTGACCTAGAATTGTGTGTATGTCTCAGAGGTGATGACGGTGGGGGGACTGTCAGGAAAGATATCCCTGAGGAAGCAACAAATCTGAGAGTGAATGAAAAAAAGAAGTAAACTTGATAAGGAGCTGTATGGGTAAGTGGGTGGGCATGGAGCATTTAAGGTGGAGGGAACATGTGCAAATACCCTATGGCAGATGGTAAAATGGCAGATTGGTGGTAGTACTGCAAAACAGCCAGAAGCGTAAGAGTATAGAGAGAAAGACAGTTCAAAATTGGTCTTTATAGGTAGGCAGGGCCAAACAATACAGGAACATGTCTTTGTTAAAGTTTTTGATATTTATTTTAAAAGCTGTGTGAAATAATTTAAGGATTTAAGTAGAATATGACACAATTATATATGTGGCTTAAAGTTTTTTGAGGGCTTTTACTTCCAAGAAGATAAAATGTTTTTTTCCATATTTTGTCCAGTAAGTACAACTAACAACACTGAAAATAGATACAACAACCAGTAAGATTCTGAAAAGTGGAGAGAGGAACGAAGATCAGTTAGGAACCTCAAGACCCGAGGAACAACACAGTGGTGAGCACCCTGAATTTTCTTATGCTTTTTATATCCTGAACTAGTTGCTGGAGGAACCAACAACTTGGAAATGCCAGCAGGTGCAGACATCAAAAGGATAAGAAGGGAATACTATGAACAACTCAACACAAATAAATTTGACAACTTAAATAAAGTTGACTGATTGGCTGAAAAAGTACGAAATACCACAGATTATTCAAAATAAAACAGATACTTGAAATAGTCCTATGTCTATTAAGAAATTTAATTTGTAACTTGAAAACCTCACAAAAATTATCTTTAGTCTGAAATAATTTCACTGACAAATTCTATCAGAAAATTGTAGCTGGACCCCTTCTTTACACCATATACAAAAATCAATTCAAGATGGACTAAAAACTTAAATGTAAAATCCCAAACTATGAAAAACCCTGAAAAACAACATAGGCAATACCATTCAGTACATAGGCACAGGAAAAGATTTCGTGACAGAGACACCAAAAACAATTGTAACAAAAGCAAAAATTGACAGATGGATTCTAATTAAACTAAAGCTTCTGCACAGCAAAAGCAACTATTAGCTGAGTAAATAGACAACCTATGGAATGGGAGAAAACCTTAGCAAACTATGCATTCAACAAAGGTCTAATATCCAGCATCTATAAGGAGCTTAAACAAATTAAAAAAAAAAAAAAAAACCATGTTAAAAAGTGGACAAAGGACACGAACAGACACTTTTCAAAAGAAGACATACATGTGGCCAACAAGCATATGAAAAAATGCTCAACATCACTGATTATTAGAGAAAGGCAAATGAAAACCATGGTGAGATATTATCTCACACCAGTCTGAATGGCTAGTATTAAAAAGTGAAAAAAAATAACTGATGCTTGTGAAATTGTGGAGAAAAGGAATGCTTATACTCTGTTGTTGAGTGTGTAAATTAGTTCAGCCATTGAGGAAGACACTGTGGCGATTCATCAAAGACCTAAAGACAGAAATACCACTAGACCTACAAATCTCATTACTAGGCATGTACCCAAAGGCATATAAATCATTTTATCATGCAGTAGTATGTTCACTGAAGCACTAGTCACTATAGCAAAGACATGGCATCAACCTAAATGTCCACCAGTGATAGACTGGATAATGAAAATGTGGTACATATACACCATGGAATACTATACAGCCATAAAAAACAAGATCATGTGCTTTGGAGCAACATGGAGGGACCTGGAGGCCATTATCCTTAGCAAACTAATGCAGGAATAGAAAACCAAATACTGCATGTTCTCTCTTATAAGTGGGAGCTAAGTGATGAGAACACCTTGGCATATAGAGGAGAACTACAGACACTGGGGCCTTTTGGAGGGTGGAAGGTGGCAGAAAGGAGAAGATCAGGAAAAATTACTAATGGGTACTAGGCTTAATAGCTGGGTGATGAAATAATATGTACAACAAAACACCATGAGACAAGTTTACCATGTGACAAACCTGCACTTGTATCCCTGAACTTTCAAAAAAATACATTACTGGAGTAAATTTTCTTCTGTACATTCCACCTCTTTGCATTTATATTTATAATTGACCATGCTGGTAGTTTATTTTTTGTTTTGTTTTTGGTAGCAAGGTTATGCTAATTCAAAAAAGCTTGCATAGCATTAGAATGATCTATTACAGTGTGAGAAAATATGGTTCATAAAAACTTTTGTGCCAGTCTCTTTTGTAGGAGATAACTATAATAATTTTTCCATTTTTTTTTTTTTTGGTCATTGGTGTATGAATATTTCCTGATTTTTCTTGAGCCAATTTTGGTCTTTTATATATTTTATGGAAACTTTTTACTATATCATATTTTGAATTTTTATAACAAGATTAATAAAAGTACCAGTAGCAAAATCTAAGATTCTCCTGCCACATACCCATCACCGTTAGCCTCACTACACATAAATAAACACCATTAAGAGTTTCTACTTTTAGTTCTTGTGGTTGTCTTCATACCGTAATATACTTTGCCTCTAGCCTTGATCTATCACCTCTACACAAGATCTGTTGACTTCTAATTTTGCTATGAAAGAGAGGAAATATAGCACACCTACATTGTGTTGTCTTTCTTAATTCCTCCCCTCGATTTTTGTTAGTTATATTACTATTTTAGCTCCTCAACCGGTTCCTTTTCTTTCTAAATACATTGGTTTCTGATAGGCAGCTATTATTTCCTACTATGAGCTTTTCTAAACTTATGTGTGTAGCACACACACAAACTCAATAATTTTAGGTACATGATAAAACAAGATTGACCACTAATGTTAAAATAAAAATAAAATTGCGGTTTAAAATATTTGTAACAATAACAATTACACTGATATATCCAGACTAGTAAGAGGGTATATTTAACTTGCAGCATTTCACCAAAGTATTTATATATGTCTTAGTAATTAATAGCCTGAGTGACATATCAAGTTACACGTCCAGTTTACTCAATAAAGTAAAAATTTTGTTTCTGTACATGAAGTTAGATTTGCCTGTATTAAAAAAAATTGAGTAGTATATTTAGCTACAGTGCTTTTAATATTACCTAACATTTGATGCCCAAATCTAAACATTCATAATTGAGACTAAAGTTTTACTATTTTTAAAGAAGTTTAAGAAAGTCCAATTTTCTTAAAGAAATGAAGGAAGTTTTCTGCCTTATGATTTTTAGTTCAAATTTTTCTAGATATTTCTGCATGTCTATGTCAGCAATGACAATTTTTTTATTTTTAAAAGGAGACAAAATTCAATTGTATAGAATTTTAAATTACCAACTTTTAAAAGCATAAAGCCTTCAAAGAGTGTACAGACATTTCATATTCATTTTTTCATCTGACCATCCAAATATCCCATAAAGTAGGTATAACAGATGTAATTCTTCCCATTTTATAGATGAAAAATTAATTTTACAATGAAACAGTGATTTGTCCAAAATCACAGTTAGTGGCAGAACAGAAAAAACTATTTTATCAATACTTTTTTTATCCCTGGTCCAGTGATTTTTCCATGTTAACATAGTAAGGAAAACAATATTCATAATGCACTTAATATTATGCCTGGCACATAGCAGGTACTCAATAAATAATGTCAAGTAATATTATTACTCAAAATTATAGCAGTTGATAATGTTTAAAAAAAAAAGAAGCCAAAACAGAAATATATCAAGATGGAAAGCCCAATGATATAATGTGCATTTCAAATGATTACAAAGATATAATATATACTTCAAATGATTAAGTTTTTAAACAACATACATGCAATATTTTATTATGGCATTATTCTGATATTTTGAGAGCTCCCAAACTATGTTGAAGCTCCTCATCTCTCCCTAAATGCCTTAAATCAAGGTTTTTGGGCCATGGAATTCTTCACACAGTCTGGCAAAATTTATGAACCCATTTTCAGAATAATATTTTTAAATGCATGAAATAAAATGCATGGGATTACAAAGGAAATAATTTATCTTGAAATCGTTATCAAAATACTGAAAAAATAATTTGCAATCAAATAACAAAATTTACCAGCAAGCGTAATAACTGTAATTTTGAAATAGCTGTGAATCTAAATGATATTTTAAAGCATTTTCAGTAACTGTAATATAATACGAAAATATTTGTAACTTTGGTAAGAAAAGGTCACGAGTATTGCTAAAATTATTTTGGTTTATTGCTTTATTCATTCACAGTAGAAAGAAACAATACATTTCAGGTAGAGATAAAAGAATATAAAAGATGGGTTTTTGTTTGTTTTTGTTTTTTGTTTGTTTTTGTTTGTTTTTTTGAGACGGAGTCTTCCTCTATCACCCAGGCTGGAGTGCAGTGGCACGATCTCGGCTCGCTGCAAGCTCTGCATCCTAGGTTCACACCATTCTCCTGCCTCAGCCTCCCGAGTAGCTGGGACTACAGGTGCCCACCACCACGCCTGGCTAATTTTTTCTTTTTTTTTATTTTTAGTAAAGACAGCATTTCACCATGTTACCAGGATGGTCTCGATCTCCTGACCTCGTGATCTGCCCGCCTCGGCCTCCCAAAGTGCTGGGATTGCAGGCGTGAGCCACCAAGCCTGGCCATAAGATGTATTTTTTAACTGTCCAAGGTCATGGGATCCCCTGAATTCTATTCATGATAGCATGTTTGAGCATCTGTGGACCCCAGTTTGTGAACTCCTGCCCCGAAACAAAACCTGCCAGTTATCAAGAACCACTCATTGACACAACAGTCAAAGTAAATATTCCTATTTTCTTGGTCTTAAATAGAAAATGCCAGTGCTTTTTTCCCCAACTTTTTTTTTTTTATTTTTAGAATAAGGTGTAACTGCCAAAACAAATGACATGGAAGAGACAGAACAAGATAAATAGAAAAATTGACTCAGAGAAAAGAGCGATATTCAGGGAACACAGAACATTAAACAATTTTTTTTTGTTATGGAAAAAACAACCAGGGATCAAGAAAGAACTCTTGGAAATAAAAAATCATGATTGCTGAACAATTGAAAAGATTTAAAGTGACACACCCATGATGTCTTTCCTTTCTTCTACATCCTCTTTACCGTCAGATTGGTGCTGAAAGAGGTCCTAGATCTCTTGGGCAAGTTTACAACTTACCTCTTTTGTCCTCTGCTTCCAGTGCAGTAAGTATTTCATGAAGAGGTAACTGAAAAACCTCATTTAGGCTTCCTTTCCTAAGCCAAGTACTCCAGCACAGTTTACCAGGGAGAATAGAGATATGAAGCTGGAGTTTTTTTAAGGATTTGCCCATTATTAATGAAGTAGTGCTTTTTTTTCACACTTGAGTTTTCTTTTCTGTACATCGAGCTTCTTTAGTCCAGCAGTTCTCAGTGGGGTTAATTTTGCTCACCCAGGAGACATTTGGCAATGTCTGGAGATATGTTCGGTTGTTATAATTTGGGGATATACTACTGGCATATAGATAAAGGTCAAGGATGCAGCTAAGGCACATTACAATGCACAGGACTGCCCCTCCTACAAAAAAAAATTATCTTGTCTGAAATGTCAATAGTGCTGAGGTTGAAAAATCTAACAGTCAAGCACTGTCAAGGAAGAAAGCAGAATTGGTAAAGCTGCCAAACTATATCCAAACCCCAAATGCTAGCCATTTTCCAATTTAAAATTCGTTTAAAATAAAGACATTTATTTCTTCTGGTGGCACATATACACCATGGAATACTATGTAGCCATAAAAAAGGATGAGTTCATGTCCTTTACAGGGACATGGATGAAGCTGGAAATCATCATCCTCAGCAAACTGTCACAAGGACAGAAAACCAAACACCACATGTTCTCACTCATAGGTGGGAATTGAACAATGAGAACACTTGGACACAGGGTGGGGAACATCACACACCGGGGCCTGTTGGGGGGTGAGGGGCTCGGGGAGGGATACCATTAGGAGAAATACCTAATGTAAATGACGAGTTGATGGGTGCAGCAAACCAACATGGCACATGTATACCTATGTAACAAGTCTGCATGCTGTGCACATGTACCCTAGAACTTAAAGTATAATTAAAAAAAAGATTTCAGAAATACATGTGAGTTATTTGAAAGACTGCTTTAGAACTGGCACATTGTAACTACTTAGCCAAGAGAGTAACACTAAAAGGACAACAATTATTGTATGCATTGAATTTTAAAAGAAATTATTACTATTCTTGAGGGAAGTCAAACAATGCCTCATTTAAGGTGTCAAATTATATCTTTCATGTATTATTAAAACAAAATACAGTGCAGCTTCTGTGTGGACAGAGTGGGTTTCACTCAACAGAACAAGAATTCTAAGAGCTCCTAAATGTGATCTGGGCTCAGAATCGTTATTTAGATTTGCTTTAATGCCATCTATACTGATTGCTGATAAGTTTTTTTTTTAAAAGGTAATTGCTTGTTTAGTTTGTATTGTCTTCTAATTTTAACACTTTATTTTATATATGTAAAAATTGGATTAGTTATGTAAGTACCTGCTATCTTACATTTATGAATTATTATTGTATTAGTCCATTCCCGGGCTGATGCAAGAGGTAGGTTCCCATGCTCTTGGGCAGCTCTGCCCACATGGCTTTGCAAGGTACAGCCTCCCTCTGGCTGCCTTGATGGCTGGCGTTGAGTGTCTGCGGCTTTTCCAGGTGCACGGTGCAAGCTGTCAGTGGATCTACCATTCTGGGGTCTGAAGGATGGTGGTCCTTTTCTCACAGCTCCACTAGGCAGTACTCCAGTAGGGACTCTGTGTGGGGACTCCAACCCCACATTTCCCTTCCGCACTGTCAGAGCAGAGGTTCTCCATGAGGGCCCTGCCCCTGCAGCAATCTTCTGCCTGGGTATCCAGGCATTTCCATACATCTTGTGAAATCTAGACGGAAGTTCCCAAACCACAATTCTTGACTTCTGTGCACTCGCAGGCTCAACACCACATGGAAGCTGCCAAGGCTTGGGGCTTGCACCCTCTGAAGCCATGACCCAAGCTCTACATTTGCTCCTTTCAGGCACAGCTGGAGCAGCTGTGATGCACAGCACCAAGTCCCTAGGCTGCACAAGCAGGGAGACCCTGGGCCCAGCCCAGGAGACCACTTTTTCTTCCTAGGCCTCCAGGCCTGTAATGGGAGGGGCTGCTGTGAAGACCTCTGACATGCCCTGGAGACATTTTCCCCATTGTCTTGAGGATTACTATTTGGCTCCTTGTTACTTATGCAGATTTCTGTAGCCCACTTGAATTTCTCCTCAGAAAATGGGATTTTCTTTTCTATAGCATTGTCAGGTTGCAAATTTTCCAAACTTTTTATGCTGTTTCCCTTTTAAAACTGAATGCTTTAAACAGCACACAAGTCACCTCTTGATTGCTTTGATGCTTAGATATTTCTTCCCCCGATACCCTAAATCAGCTCTCTCAAGTACAAAGGTCCACAAATCTTTAGGAGAAGGGCAAAATGCTGCCAGTCTCTTTGCTAAAACATAATGAGAGTCACCTTTTTTCCAGTTACCAACAAGTTCCTCATCTCCATCTGAGATCACCTCAGCCTGGATTTCATTGTCCACATCATTATCAGCATTTTGTTGAAAGCCATTTAACAAGTCTCTAGGGAGACATCTAAAAGAAGGCTTGCAAAACACATGTAAAAATTACATTGCATTAAAAGAGTAATAGGTCCATAATTTAACTTAATTCACACACTCAAAAAATATTTTTCAAATTCATATATGTGGCAGATACTCCTCTAGGTGCTGGGAATACAGTGGCAAACAAAACAAAGTCCCTGATCTTAAGCTCTCAGATTTAAGTTTTAAAAGAGGAAAGATACAATAAGCAAGTACTTATATATAAAGATATAATGATAAAGATATAAAGATACAATAAGCATATAAATAAATATATGATTTCAGGGAGTGATGTATGCTAACTTTTAAAATCTGATGTTCTGCTTCCTAAATTAGACACTCTGGTGCTAATAGCCTTCAAATTGAAAATGGTAAGGAACTTTCTAGTGGTAAGGAATACTCTTATTAAAACTATCTGGGGTATCTTTAGTCCTTCATAACCAACACTCAAAATGCTATTCCACCAGAAGTACTATGTGCAGCTACTGTCCCAAATTCTGCTCTCACAATTGCCCATTAAAGAAAATATAACCTACTGATTCACACTCCTTTATTGATGGTAGGTAATGGCTTTGTATGTTACCTCTTCCAGAATTACATTTTAAAGTATCTAGCATCTTAACCCCAAATGAATAAATACTGCAAGTCCTTTCGCTCTCCTTTCCCTAATCCCTCATTTTATCTCTTGCTCACCTTTGAGCACATACAAAATCCACACCTTAAAAACCACTTATTCAGGGATAGTTGGGTAAACATGAAAGATGGAGACATGACTGACTTCTTATTTCTGGTTTCTGCCCTTCATTTTTGCTCAGAATAATGTCTCAGTTAATATATGAGGCCTATGGTCTGTGATCTAAAAAGTTTGTCAGTTTTTTAAATTGCCTTTATTCACAAATATGACTTTTCTTCAGTGTCTACATATTACATCACATGTTCTATTTACACTGCTGCAATATAGATTAAAAATCTTGTGGCATAGGGGTAGGTGAGTGTTAGTATCTCCTCTGTGCCATTTGCTCTGTTACTGCTTTATTGGACTGATCTACCCTCATGAACTTGCAATCACCTAAATGGAAGTTTTGAATGTTTAACCTTTGCTTGGTTATTTCAACCATGCTGCTATATATAATCAGGTGTGGCACAGTTTGTCAGTTTGATTCCAGGTGTGAGTGGATAGAAATCATTTCATTGTGCTGTTAACGATCCTTGTCTGCTTGCTGTTACCTACTTTTTACAGGCATCATAATAAAAGCTAGACTATTTCTTTGGGGGAAAAGAAACTTATTTAATGTAATTTAAAAAACTTTTCCAATAGAAAATGAAATACTATTGAAAATAATATCCATTTTTTAACTTTCGGCAATTCATGGTGCTTTCTGGTGGTGTCTGCTTGAAGTCTACTGCCATTATAGGGAACCTTGCCTGGTACCTTCTCTAGATCTTTATTCTAAACAATCGGTTAGTAATGATAAATTCTGTAGGAGGGTCTATTCCGAGCCGTTAGCTTCCTTTAAGGGGAAACTGGGTGGGTTGTCAGAAATACCACTGAAGCAGGGTGGGCTGTGGGTGGAGGGTTGGGGTACTTGTCTTGAGAATTAAAAACTATGAAACACTTTTGTACACAAGTGATTTTTTAAAAAATAAATACATTTTTAAAGATGTTGAATTTTTCCCCACTTATTGGTAATTCTTAAAAATAAATGCATGCGTGTTTTTCCCTGAAAAAAAAAAGAAAGTTTGTCAGTTTTTATGCAACTACATTCTTGGAAAATATTCTACATATACTTCCATCTTTTGTCAACCTCATAAATGTATGCAACTATTATGTATTCCTAATAATTAAAAATGAAAATATTTAAACATTTTACAGTTGTCTAAGATGATTCTTAAGTTTCCTAGGTATCAAGGTGATAACTGATATAAAAAGAACAACCATTTTTTAACTCACAATAACTTCATATATTGCAGTTTATTTTTGTTGCATTATACTTACAAATTCAATCAGGTTTTAAGAAAAATGAAGTCAGATCATTTAGTCAAAATAAGACTAAATTTTCTAGAGTCATTAGTAAGATTCTGCATGATAAATAGATGGATTTCTATATACTTGAGTGGAAAATACCAAGTATTTAGTTTTTTTAGGGTTATAATTCATCTCTTGCTTTTGAAATTTCTTGGAATATTGACTGACTTCATTCTTCCTTGGGTTTTTTGGCCTATCACTGTAGGCCCCTTTACTGCTGAGAGGAAAAAGTGAATAGGCTAACGTGAAAACAGCTTATGCACAGTCAAACACATTCAACACAATTGACTTCAAAGCAACTGTATTTATTTTGATTTTGTGGGGTTTTTTTGTTTGAAAAGTGAATTAACTAAATATTTCTGCTAATATTAAACTCATTAGGTTGAGCATTTTTTCTTTTATATCAAATGAATTTAAAGATGATTATTTGTGTGGAATTTTTCTTGAAAGAGGTTAAAATAGGAGCAGAATTTGAGCCATCTGTTGGATAATATTTGAAAAACTAGTAAAAGTCTGTTAGAATGATACATTACCAATAGACAAGTAAGCCTTCTATTGCCACTCCTTTTCAGCATAGTATTGGAAGTCCCAGCCAGAGCAATCAGGCAGGAGAAAGAAATAATGGTATCCAAATAGGAAGGGAGGAAGTCAAACTGTCTCTGTTTGCAGATGACATGATTCTACATCTAGAAAACCCTAAAGTCTTGGCCCAAAAGCTTCTCCAGCTGATAAGCAACTTCAGCAAAGTTTCTAGAACACAAAATCAATGTACCAAAATCACTAGCAGTCCTATACACCAACAACAACCAAGTCAAGGGCCAAATTAGAAAGGGAATCCTATTCACAGTTGCCACAAAAAGAATAAAATACTTAACAATACAGCTAACCAAGGAGGTGAATGATCACTACAAAGAGAATTACAAAACACTGCCCAAAGAAACGGCCATACTGCCCAAAGGAAATTAAAGATTCAATGCTATTCCCATCAAACTATCAATGACATTCTTCACAGAACTAGAAAAAACTATTTTAAAATTCATATGGTACCAAAAAGAGCCCAAATAGCCAAGGCAATCCTAAGAAAAAGAAAACAAAGCTGGAGGCATCATAGTACCTGACTTCAAACTATACTACAAGGCTACAGTAACCCACACAGCATGGCACTAGCACAAAAGCAGGCACATAGACCAACAGAACAGAATAGAGATCCCAGAAACAAGGCTGCACACCTACAACTACCTAATCTTTGACAAAGCTGACAAAATCAAGCAATGAGGAAAAGACTCCCTATTGAATAAATGGTGCTGGGATCACTGGCTAACCATATGCAGAAGAATGAAGTTGGACCCCTTCCTTACACCATACACAAAAATCAACTCAAGATGGATTAAAGACTTAAGTGTAAAACCCAAAACTATAAAAACCCTAAAAGAAAACCTAGGCAATACCATTCCAAACATAGGAAAGGGCAAATTATTCATGACAAAGGCAACAAAAGCAATCACAACAAAAGCAAAAATTGACAAATGGGATCTAATTAAATGTAACAGCTTCTCTAAAGCAAAGGAAACTGTCAACAGAATAAACAGACAACCTATAGAATGAGAGAAGATTTTTGCAAACTATGCATCTGATAAAGGTCTAATTTACAGCATCTATAAGGAACTTATACAAATTTATAAGAAAAAACAAGCGACCCTATAAAAAAGTGGATGAAAGACGTGAACAGAAACTTTTCTAAAGAAGACATTCAAGTGGCCAACAAGCATTTGAGAAAAAGCTCAATATCCCTGATAATTAGAGAAATGCAAATCAAAGCCACAGTGAGATGACATCTCACTGTCCAAATGGCTATTATTAAAAAGTCAAAAAATAACAGATGCTGGTGAGGTTGTGGAGAAAAGGGAACACTTATACACCCTTGGTGGAAGTGTAAATTAGTTCAACCATTGAGAAAAGCAGTATGGAGAGTCCTCAAAAAGCTAAAATCAGAACTACCATTTGACCCAGCATTCGCATTACTGGGTATATACCTAGAGGAATATAAATTATTCTACCATAAAGACACATGCATGTGAATGTTCACTGCAGCACTATTCTCAATAGCAAAGACATGGAATGGACCTAAATGCCCATCAATGACAGATTGGATAAAGAAAATGTGGTACATATACACCATGGAATACTATACAGTCACAAAAAAGAACAACATAATGTCTTTGCAGGAACATGGATGGAGCTGGAGGGTATTGTCCTTAGCAAACCAACACAGAAACAGAAAACTAAATGCTGCATGTTCTCACTTATAAGTGGGAGCTAAATGATAAGAACTTATGAACACAAAGAAGGAAAACAACATACATTGGCATCTGCTTGAAGGTGGAGGATGAGAGGGGGAGGAACAGAATAGATAACTATTGGGCTTAATTCCTGGGTGATGAAATAATCTGTACAACAATTTCTTGTGACATGATTTTACCTATGTAACAAATCTTCACATGTACCTCGAACCTAAAATAAAAGTTAAAAAAAAAAAGAAAAGTTACCAATAAAATGAAGTTTTACTAAAGAGAAAAACGATTGGCTTTTTCTGACACAGGTCCTTTCTGAGTGAAATTTGGAAGTTGGTAAGGTTATATTTAGTATTTAAGCATTGCAATATTTTATTCCTTGGTGAAACTTTATCTCCCCACCCTCTTCATGTACACTGACAGTACTCATGATACATTCTTGCACTGATTAAAACCAGATCCGAGGAGTAAATATTATAGGTTTATCACACATAACTGGCAAAATTTAATATATTTCATTTGCCAGTTAGATTTGCATTTCCTTGAAAGACAAAATTTCAAACCAAAGGAATGAATTTTGAATTCAAAATCAGAAGCTTGGCATCAATAAACCAAGGCATTTTGGGAAGGTATTTTGTTGGGCCACTATATAAAGCCAGTCATTTTTAGTTTGGAAACATGAAAGACTGATATGCCAATGAACAATGACCAGACAATATATGAAAACAGAACTCTGATCCACAACCCCTGCAGCAATCTGTCCAGGAAGACAAATCACAGCCTCTGCAGCAATTGGTCCAGATGATTCAGGACTTAAGTCAATAACTGCCAACTTCTCTAATTTTTGTCCCCTTTTCCAACTCAGAACTAACCTTAGAGAGCCAAATATGTTTCTCAAACCAATCACATTGTTGTGGGAAGTCAGGGACCCGGAATGAAGGCACCGGCTGGAGCTGCAGCAGAGGAACATGAATTGTGAAGATTTCATGGACATTTAACAGTTCCCAAATAATACTTTCATAATTTCTTACGCCTGTCTTACTTTAATCTCTTAATCCTGTTATCTTTGTAAGCTGAGAATGTATGGCACCTCAGGACCACTATTGTGTTAACTGTACAAATTGATTGCAAAACATGTGTGTTTGAACAAGATGAAATCAGTGCACCTTGAAAAAGAACAGAGTAACAGAAATTTTAGGGAACAAGGGAAGGCAACCATAGGTCTGACTGCCTGCGGGGTCAGGCAGAATAGAGCCATATTTTTCTTCTTGCAGAGAGCCTATAAACGGATGTGCAAGTGGGGAAGATATTGCTAAATACTTTTTCTAGCAAGGAATATTAATAATTAAGAACCTGGGAAAGGAATGCATTCTTGGGGGAAGGTCTATAAAGGGCTGCTCTGGGAGTGCCTGTCTTATGCAGTTGAGATAAGGACTGAAATACGCCCTGGTCTCCTGCAGTACCCTCAGGCTTACTAGGATTGGGAACTCCACCCTGGTGAATTTGAGGTCAGACTGGTTCTTTGCTCTCAAACCCTGTTTTCTGTTCTTTAAGATGTTTATCAAGACAATATGTGCACAGCTGAATATAGACCCTTATCAGTAGTTCTGAATTTGCCCTTGTCCTGTTTCCTCAGAAGCATGTGATATTTGTTCTCTTTTTTGCCCTTTGAAGCATGTGATCTTGTGATCTACTCCCTGTTCTTGCACCCCCTCCCCTTTTGAAAGCTTAATGAAACTTGCTGGCTTTAAGGCTCAGGTGGGCATCATGGTCCTATTGATATGTGATGACACCCTTGGCGGCCCAGCTGTAAAATTCCTCTCTTTGTACTCTTTCTCTTTATTTCTCAGACCGGCTGATAGTTAGGGAAAATAGAAAGAACTTATGTTGAAATATTGGGGCTGGGTTCCCCCGATATCACATAGAATGTCCTGCTTCTAACTAGCCTGCCTCTAGCTTCCCCATGCCTTCAACCTGCGATCATAGCATACTTTATTGCTCCACTTTTTCACTATAAAGCTTTTCTGCTCTCCTGCCTCTCTCCCAAATGTAAGTGACGGTGGCTGACTCCCTTGCTATAGCAAGCTCTGAATAAAAATAACCTTGGCTTGTCATTTCGGTGGTCTTCATTTCTTTCTACAATCCTGTTACATAGATATTTTGGAGCCAAGATTTTTAACTGGTTATGTAAATTATAATCAACTAAGAAGCTTAAAAAGTACAGATGACAGGCCAGGCCATGGTGGCTCATGTCTGCAATCCCAGAACTTTGGGAGGCCGAGGTGGGTGGATCACCTGAAGTCAGCAGTTCCAGACCAGCCTGGCCAAAATGGCAAAACCCTGTCTCTACTAAAAACAAAAAAATTAGCTCGGCATGGTGGCGCACTTGTAATCCCATTTAGTCGGGAGGCTGAGAGAGGAGAATTGCTTGAAGCCTGGAGGCGAAGGTTGCAGTGAGCCAAGACCGTGCCACTGCACTCCAGCCTGGGCAACAGAGTGAGACTCCATCCCATCACATGCCACCCACTCCACAAAAAAAAAAAAAAAGACAGATGAGCAAGCATCACTCAAGTCCAGCTGTCATCAAGAAAACATATTGGGTTTTGTGTTGTATTCAGAACAGAAATAGCTGAGAGCAAAAAGGCATTTCCAGAAGTATTCCCAGCTATCAAGTTCCCTAATGTGTAAAATTCAAAATTTCTCAGCAATATTAGAGGGAGTGCTTGCAAATATTAAAGATGTATTACTCTAATCACTAATAGTATATAGTTTACCTAACTATCCCTCCTTTGAAGACTACCTGGGTTATTCAAGTTAATGTGGCACAGGAAGAGCCAAAAGTCAATGTGAATAAAACAATGATAGTTTTATTTTGCCAGCAAGGCAAGTCCACAAATAATCTAGTGTATCTGTGACATATACTTGTATACGAAAACTCTTTTCCTCTGTTTTTGCTTCCCAGCTTTGTCTTCATTTGTTTTTAATGGAATCAGGCAAATTTACAGATGGTAAATCATAAAAATAATTTTAATAAATGATTGAGTGGTTTATTGTCTCTCACAAATCACTTCATTCCCTGAAACTAAGACTGAAAATATCCACAACTAAGGAAAGTTTTGGAAGAAATTTCAGGCAAACAAGTAATATTTTTTTCACTTCAATGATGTCATACACTTCCATTGAAAATACAGAAAGAGGAAATTGAGACAATGTCTGGGTGTGCAGTGTGAATGCTAGAATGAAAGTGTAAGGGTTGGTGTTTGTTGCCCAAGTCATGGTAGGGATATGAATGGTGTGGTATATTAGGGATGGAACTGAAGAAATTGGGAGTTTAAAAATAGTGCTAATCCTGTGCCAGAAGAGAAAGTTCTAATTGCTTCCTGAATGTAAATATCTTGGAGGCAAAGAGGACATTAACTGTGATAAAGGGTAAACACCAGAAGAGTGTGGGGTATCAGGAAGAAAAAGTGCACAGTTTTCCAGCTCTAAAATAAGTCTTTCCAACATATTGAAACTACACTTTATAATCTCCTTGAGAGAAAGGAATATGCCACATTATCTTGGATTTAGAATACTTTCTAAATACCCTTTTTATATACATTAAATACTCCTATGCAATTTCTAGATAGGCTGATAATTAGGAGTGCTTGATGTATATCAGTCATCCAGGTATGGATCAAACTAGTGAGAAAATATGCAAATATTTTAACATATTTGTAAAATTTTTATTTTGGTATTTTTAAAATTATAAATTATAAAGAAGGCATGTGACGATTCAAAACCATGGATTAAAGGTACCATCTGACATTTTAAAAGCATATGTAAAATCAAATCCACTAGAGCTTTACTGTCCTTAGAATCCATGCCCTGAATTGACAAAAATAGAGGACACTATTTCATAATAAGGTCCTTTTGATAACTTTATTACCTACATTCCTCAAAATGGCATTCCTGATTGCCTAGAATATAGAGAATACCAGTAAACAATGTTTACAGTGAGATTCTAATACATAAATATGATCTATTCTATGACTATTTTGGAGTCTAAAAAGCTTTTTGAAATACCAAGCTATCCATAGAAACACTCAAATACTTTTCACTTACATAAAATTACTCATTGCATCTTATTTAATATCTCCAAATGCAAAATTTTGGAGGTCTTTTCCCCTCCATTTAGTTTCTTTTGTGTTTGCAGTTGAAATCTACACGATTTCTTCCATTCTCTCTCTCTCTCTCTCTTTATATATATATACACACACATATATATGTACACATATATACATATGTATATTTGCTTTCTGAGATACAAACTAATCGAAGACATTTATCTCTTGAAAAACCAGATTAAGAGTAGCAATAGCAGATAAAAATTAAAATATTCACTGGTTAATCAAGTTTTCTCATAATCCTGAAAGCACTGGACAGAGTATCGTTTGTGAAGGTATTCTGAATACTAATTTAGTACACTATTTGCATTCAAGTAGAGAATATTTGAAAAACCACAGCATTATCTAGGAATCTATGGAAATTTGAAGAAGTTTCAGGCCTTGCTCAGATTATCTCTGACCTGCAAACATAGACTCTTTCTCTCTCATATTCAGTAATTCTAACAGTTATGTTTATAATTAAAAAATAAAAATGTACTCAAAATTCTTTTCAACTCATATTCAGCTTATAGGCTGGAGATTGATTTTAAAGAAACTGGACATTGTTTTTGCGTGTTAGAGCAATTTGAGAAAATATTGATTTCACTTTATAAGGCTTGAATGCTTGTATATATGACTCAGAATTGGACACCAAGGTTCCTAGCATTTAAAATTTTCTATTCTCCTTTGTTTATGTTCCAGTTATTGAAATATTCTTAATGTAGGTTATTTTATACTTCTATTCTCCTTTATGTTCCAGTTATTGAAATATTCTTAATTTATGTTACTTTGTATTTAACATTTCCATGCTTATATTGCTTTATTGTCACTAGTGTGGATGAAAAGAGTCAAAGTGTAAAATATTTGAAGAGATTTATTCTGAACCAAATATGAGTGACCATGGCCCATGACACAGCCCTCAGGAGGTCCTGAGAACACATGCCCAAGGTGGTCAGGGTGAAGCTTAGTTTTATACATTTTAGGGAGGCATGAGATATCAATCAAGTACATTTAAGAAATACATTGGTTTGGTTCAGAAAGGCAGGACAGCTCAAAGCAGGGGGGCTTCTAGGCTATAGATGAATTTAAACATTTTTTGTTTGACAATTGGCTGAGTTTGTCTAAGGACCTGGTATCAATAAAAAGAAAATGTCTAGGTTAAGATAAAAGGTTGTGGAGACCAAAGTTTTGTCGTGCAGATGAAGCCTCCAGGTACCAGGCTTCAGAGAGAATAGGCTGTAAAATGATTCTTATCAGACTTAAAGTCTGTGTTGACCTTAATGCCAGAGAGGCATAATGAGGCATGTTTGACCCCTACTTCCCATGATGGCCTAAAACAGTCCCTCAGATTAAATTTTAAGAGCCCTGGCTGACGAGGAAATCCATCAGCATTGTTAGGGGGAGGTTAGAATTTTATTTTTGGTTTATGTCTTCCCCTTTCTGGCCAAGATTTGCCAGAGGCAACATCAAAGGCCAGCAAATTTTTATTTTGTCTCATAGCATTGCCAGGGTGGCACTGTGTCCGGAATTGGTGGGTTCTTGGTCTCACTGACTTCAAGAATGAAGCCGCGGACCCTCGCGGTGAGTGTTACAGCTCTTAAGGTGGCGCGTCTGGAGTTTGTTCCTTCTGATGTTCGGATGTGTTCGGAGTTTCTTCCTTCTGGTGGGTTTGTGGTCTCGCTGGCTCAGGAGTGAAGCTGCAGACCTTCGCGGTGAATGTTACAGCTCTTAAGGCGGCGCGTCTGGAGTTGTTCGTTCCTCTCGGTGGGTTCGTGGTCTCACTGGCTTCAGGATTGAAGCTGCAGACCTTTGCAGTGAGTGCTACAGCTCATAAAGGCAGTGTGGACCCAAAGACTGAACAGCAGCAAGATTTATTGCAAAGAGCGAAAGAACAAAGCTTCCACAGTGCGGAAGGGGACCCGAGCAGGTTGCCACTGCTGGCTCCCGCAGCCTGCTTTTATTCTCTTATCTGGCCCCACTCACATCCTGCTCATTGGTAGAGCCCAGTGGTCTGTTTTGACAGGGCGCTGATTGGTGCATTTACAATCCCTGAGCTAGACACAAAGGTTCTCCACCTCCCCACCAGATTAGCTAGATACAGAGTGTGGACACAAAAGTTCTCCAAGTCCCCACCAGAGTAGCTAGATACAGAGTGTCAACTGGTGTATTTACAAACCCTGAGCTAGACACAGGGTGCTGATTGGTGTGTTTACAAACCTTGAGCTAGAGACAGAGTGCCAATTGATGTATTTACAATCCCTTAGCTAGACACAAAGGTTCTCCAAGTCCCCACCAGAGTAGCTAGATACAGAGTGTCAACCGGTGTATTTACAAACCCTGAGCTAGACACAGGGTGCTGATTGGTGTGTTTACAAACCTTGAGCTAGAGACAGAGTGCCAATTGGTGTATTTACAATCCCTTAGCTAGACACAAAGGTTCTCCAAGTCCCCATCAGACTCAGAAGCCCAGTTGGCTTCACCCAGTGGATCCTGCACCGGGCCGCAGGTGGAGCTGCCTGCCAGTCCCGCGCCGTGCACCCTCACTCCTCAGCCCTTGGGTGGTCGATGGGACTGGGTGCTGTGGAGCAGGGGATGGCGCTCCTCGGGGAGGCTTGGGCAGCACAGGAGCCCACGGAGTGGGGGGTGGGAGGCTCAGGCATGGCGGGCTGCAGGTCCCAAGCCCTGCCCCATGGGAAGGCAGCTAAGGCCCGGTGAGAAATTCAGCACAGCAGCTGCTGGCCTAGGTGCTAAGCCCCTCACTGCCTGGCCGCGCAGGGCCACCTGGCTGCTCCAAGGCGGGGCCCGCCAAGCCCACACCCACCTGGAACTACCGTGGCCCGCCAGCAGCCCACGCAGCCCTGGTTCCCGCCCGCACCTCTCCCTCCACACCTGCCCGCAAGCTGAGGGAGCCGGCTCCGGCCTCAGCCAGCCCATGAAGGGGCTCCCACAGTGCAGCGGCGGGCTGAAGGGCTCCTCAAGTGCCGCCAAAGTGGGAGCCCAGGCAGAGGAGGCACCGAGAGCAAGCGAGGGCTGCGAGGACTGCCAGCACGCTGTCACCTCTCAGCATGGCTGCCTGCCCTGGGTCTATCCTGTCCCTTGGTGGGGCTCCCTGAGGCATAGGGCCTTAAGAGTCAAAACACTTACAGCCAATTAACTGTTCTAGGCCAGATAGGAATAGATGTGGACAGGCATTCATTACCTCTTCAAGTTATTATTTTAAGTAAAAAGCCAACAAACAAAACAAAAAGGCAAATTTATAAGACTGATTTATTTTTAACTTCTATGTGTTGAGATACTGTAAGCTTGTTTTTTGTTACAGGCTTATAGCAATTAGCTATACAAAACAAAAGCATTGTTCTAAAAATAATTTAAAATATGTGTATATATCTCTGTATATCTATATTTATCTTCACAACTCATGACTGGGAGTATTATATCCAGGAGGCTTTGTTACAAGGTATCTATATTCTGTTAGTAAATATTTTCCTTTAATTCTATTGTAAGCAGAAAACACTCTATAGTTGGGGTGGATGAAAAGTGACACATAATCATTTAGAAGGCAACTAAAGGTGCTTTACCAGTTGTTTAGGCATCTTTGTACCCCTTCTTGATTTGGAGGTTTGATCTTGACCTAATTTTATCGCTCGTAACTGGTCCTTATTATCTTATGGGCCCACCTTCTCTGCAACAGTCCCTGAGCCTAGAGGGAGGGTGCTTGTATAGTTTTAGAAGCAGAGCTTTCTCAGTGAAAAGGATTCCAGCCCAGTGGGACGCCAGATGAAGGAGATTCATATCTCTGGTCTTCAAAATGCCATGATTTTTGTTTCCTTGGAAGTAAAACAAGGAGAGATAAATAACAAATGTTTGACAATTATTTGGCAATTATAAGAGGAATTTTTGTGTCAGAACAGAAAAAGAAACCTATTCCATCAGGGCATCAACTAAAAATATGAAGAAAAATATGATCTGGTACTCTCTGGAGGATTATTGTAGCCAAGAAATAATGATTCAATCTGCACTCAAACAAAAAAGTTAGGGCTGAAATCTAGTATTAAATGCCACATTTTCCTTAGAAACAATCTCTCTAGCTGCTTTTTTTCCATTAAAGAGAAATTATGGCAGGTCTGATTATTTGCATAAAATGCAGCAAGAATTGATTGGCCACACAGACTCCTTTTAAGTTGGCAAAAAATAAACTATTTTAGATTAAGTCTTGTTAAAGCAACTAGGGCCTCCAATTGTTTGTTTTAAAACTCTTATTGAACTTATGCAAACAGTTATATTGTCAAAAAATTACTGTCTGAATTTTGGAGAACTCAGAAAGGCAAATTTGCTTACAAATACATGCTTTACGCAAAAAAACTTAAAAGAAAAAGATATTCTTGACCCTTCTTTAACCAGACCAGCGGCTATTAAACAAGATGTTTGTTTACCTTGGAAATACCATTTACAAACTAAACAGCTCATGAGCACTATCAGGTACTGTAGAATTTAGAAGCTCCTCATAATTAGTCCTAGAAAAGAGGCTCTCTGCTTATCAGGTAGCAAGATTTTATGTAAACCATTTTTATTTTATCATGAAACTCTTTTGGGAAACATTATTTCATTAGCCTAGGGGTAGCTTCCGTTCACATTCCATCACAAAGCAGTAAATGCTCCTTGTAGTGGAAGTTCTCTAGTTCAGTCATTGTCATTGAAAAGTACTCACCGTTTTTTTGCCATTATCCCTGATAAATGCTCCACACAAAGGACTGTGCAGTGGAGGATCTGTCCTGATTAGCACTCCAGCTTCTACCCTATACTTTGTGGGCTGAGGCGATTTTACTAGTTCCCATTTAGCATGTCCAATTAACATTTCCTAAAAGAGTAGATTTACATGCTTTCAGTTTCATAGTACTAGAAAGGGGAAATATCCCCAGTCAGATGCAGTAGCTCTTTTCATAAGATATTTAAGTAAAGGAGTTAAAACTAGCTTACATAAAGCTTGTTTCAACATCTTACATTTTATAATTCTATTAACCTGTATGTTTATATGTTCTGGTCCCAGGAACCCTTTTTTACCCCCAGAGCATTTTACCTTTTCTGGTGAAAAGGGTTTGGGGTCCCAGTAGGGAGTTGCATCTGTAAGACCTATGAGGGACAGCAAATTTGGTAAGGCTTCTTAAACAGTCCTATGATTCTGTAGGAGGGGCACTCCTCTGAAAGGGGCCCCCTTAGCCCCCAAATGTACTATGACCTGGGTAACAGGCATATTTGGTGGGAGGATATTCCAGTTATCATAAAGCCAGTTATCAAAAGTAACCCAAATTTCCAGTGAAAAATAACTGGAGGGTTTAACATGACTTTCAGATTTTAAATTACTGGAGAGTTTTGAGATTAAATTTACCAAATTAAATTTACCAAAGATTACCAAGGTCATGTGAATTAAAAGGCATCCAAGCTAGCTTCTACCAATCTGATTAGCACCTTCTTAAGTAAGTTACTTGATTAGAGCTCTTTCATATAGTTTAGTGGTGAAATATCAGTTTCACATGACATATATAAAGATAGACATGTAACTGGCATACAGAATAAAAAGCCAGGCCCAAAAGATAGTTTATTATTTGCCTGTTTTCACAAAAAAAAAAACCTCCCTTACTTTAGATAATTAATAAAAGTTACAGGAACCAGCAAAAGGTGAAGGAGAGACCTATCCTTCAAGGCCTTTTCAAGAGAAAGAGTTGAACCTCTGCAATATCAATCTGAAGAATGTTAAAGAAACAGATTATAGAATTTAAAAAATGTAAAACTTCTTGTATTAAAAGTAAGGCAACATTTGGAATAAAATCTTGTTTTAACCAGTTATTTGGTTTTGTATTAGTGTATTGTTTTAATATCAAAGACCCATCTTTAGAAAGACTCTTATTTCTTCTTAATCACAGCCAACTGAATTATACAACTGCTTTAAATATTCCTTTTTACTATCTTTATTATGACTTACATAGACCATTCACAAGATGTGTAGACTTTCTGTTTGTTCCTAAATATCCCTCTTTCTTGAATAACCTAGTCATTTACTTTAGGACAAAAATTCACCACACAAGATTCTTTCTCATGTAAAATTGCTTTCCTTTCTATCTTCTTTACCAAAAGTACCTCTTTATATCTTTAACTTTCTTTACATCTCTTATTTCCTGATTCCTTTACCATGTTTTATATGTAAACTTAAAATAAGCTTCGAATTAGACAAAGATATTTTACCTTTTAATAAGAACTTCTTTTTAAAAAAATGTTTTTTTGTAATTTTTAAATGGGAAATTACCCAGATACTGATACAGGCAACAGGCAAGGAAATATTGCGTAGAAGACGGCAGTTCCCTGACAAGGCCACACCCTTAAGCCTGGAAGCCTGCAGCTCTAAATGGGAACAGGCATTCCTGTTTTAGTGCCCAGATGTTGCCTTTTGGTCAGCCACACCCCCCATCCTGTACCCATATAAACCCCAAACCCAAGGCTCCACAAGCGGAAGAGCAGAAGAGTGGCAGAGTGTCAACATGGCTGAGTAGTGTGGCAGAGAAAGAGAGAAGAGAACAAGCATCTGAACGTTGAGAGTAGTTCAGCTGGGGACAGTCGGGAGGAGATTGTCTGCAGGACAGCAAAACTCCAGGGAAGGATCATCTTCCCCCTCCATCCCCTTTCCAGCTCTCCATCTATTCCACTGAGAGCCATTTCCATCACTCAATAAAATCCCCACATTAGCATTCTTCATGTCCAACTGACCTGATTCCTCCTGGATGCCGACAAGAACCTGGGTACCAAAAGGGCAGGGAATAAAAGGCTGCCACACTGACCCTCCACTGAGCTGGTTTAACACTCAGCCATCCACAGACAGCAGAGGTAAAAGAACACTGTAACATGCCCACTGGGGCTTTGGAAGTCGCAGGCACCCCCTGCTCCAGATGCTGCCATGGGGCCTTCATGGAGTTTGCTTCTGCCAGGACCCAAATGCACTTGCTCTGGCTCCTGCACCTGCCCATCTGTGTGCTTCCCCTCCCATAAAAGGTTCAAACATGAGGCAACAAAGCAAGGGAGCCACACCTCTGACACAAGTCCTGTGAAGGGGTCAGGGAACTCTCCCACTTCAGTACTTAATATCAATTAACCTGAGACCCTAAATTATGATGTTTGTTTACCAGAATTTATTCCATTACCTTTCCCTGATTAATAGTTTACCTAGATTATTTACTAAAACTGTGACAGTTAATTTTAAAGTTATTTTCCTATTAACCATTTTTTATCTCTGTGAATTTCAGGTATTTACTTAAGAAACTTAAGGTTAAATATAAGGGAATTTTTTTTTTTACCAATAACTCAGGAGTTAGCTGTTTTCATTAAACCAACAATATTCCATGTCTTATTTGTTAAAATTACACAAGCAAAGGTCATTCTGTCTTGGGCTGGGTTTCATACTTTTATAACTCTTATGGCAAATCTTACAGTATTCTGCAGGTATAAGCACAAAACCACTTGATCAATAAATACAAAAAAGTCAACAATTCTTAAGATATTGTTAATATTATTTTTACCAGTAATTTAAAAGCCAGCTTATTTAAGAGTTTGCTCAAGTCATGTGAACTTGAAAAAGTGTTTGACTAGTTTTTTTAAAGTATTTGATTTAAGCACTTTTATTTATCTATTAAGCCAGTTAATTCGAGCTCTTTTACACATTTTTAGTTGTGAAACATTGTGTACACAACACATAAATACATAGACATATTAGACATGCTGATAGAAATACACCTTACAGATCCTTAAGACCTCTTTTCTTTCCTATCTTAGACTTTCAAATTCTTGATAACCTGTTTCATCACCCTAGGCAGTTGTCAGCTAAAGAGCCCTAAATTTGCAGATTAAAGAAACAACTGAGGTGAAAATCAGATAGCAAAATTTACATCATAAGGTATGAAGAGAAAAAATCTGGTGTGCTAGAGGGAAATTAAAAGGGGTTTAACTGCCAATTAAACATAAATTATATAATTTATAAAGGTGTTTTAAATATACACACTCGTGCGCACGCATGTGCGCTCGCGCACGCACACGCGCACACACACACACACACACACAGAGATCCTATAGCTTTTACTTCAGAATTTTAGCCATGACATAAATACAAATTCACCGGCTTGTCAAAAAAAAGAAAAAAAAAAAACTGTGAGATCCAAACAGTGATTTTTATCTCGGTAGAAGAGTAACAGCAGATTTAAAGCAGGCAAAAAAGAAAATAGAGAAAAAGAGAACTTAGGAACTCTACAGTTTGCAGGTCTACCTTAGGGCTAATTTTCCTTAATGTCTATGTGCACGAAGACCATATTACTTCCATTCTACATAAACCCTGGCAAGTAGAGGTGCCATAAAACCTATGGAATGCTCAAAAGTGGGTCATTCTCCTTGTTTTCTCCTCATTCTTAGATTATTAGTTTCCCTTTTTTTTCTTAAAAGGAGGAACGGAGCTTTGCCCTAGGATTTCTGTGTAGTGGGTTGATGTGTGCTACTTGTGGGCAGGACTCCACAGTGTGCCACCACTGAGTCATTCCCACCCTCTTACATGTCTCAGTTTCTCTCTCCAGGGGTCTATTACCTCTTCGAAGGCTCAAAATACTGGGTGATTAGCCCTTATATGCATTTCCTGGAGGAGCCTTTTTAAAAAATAATTTTTAGTTGCAGGTTTTTCTGTAGGGCCACTGCATGTTGTAAGGGTCAATCCCCCAGAAACTCCCATGAGGGCCCCAGCCACCCAGGGGTGCCTTTCAGCTTGTAGGAGCAAATGCCCTTTCTCTTCAGAAATGAAAAAACTCAGTCTCTCATTTACCTATGAAAACAACAGTTCAGTTCCTCATGCAAATGTGCACAGACAGGCAGAATCAAGATTAATTGTGGGAGAAAAAGCAATAGAGAAGATCCTTTAGAATGCATCTCCAAACTAGAATTAGGATGCTGAAACAACAACTCCTAGAAGGAAAACCAGCTCAGAATAAATCAAGGACCGTCAACCGAAGGGAGGTTCAGGGCTCGGGAGGACTTACCAGTTTTACCAGAGGAGAAGCTGCAACTTGCGGAGGCTTCAGTGGACCCCTGCTAGTACCATAGCTCTGAGTTGGGCAACTCCTTCAAGGTCCTGAGTCTTCTCTGAGGCCCCACGTGTTTGCATGCCAAATTGCTGTCGATGAAAAGAGTCAAACTCTTTAAAATATTTGAAGAGATTTATTCTGAGCCAAATATGAGTGACCATGGCCCATGACACAGCCCTCAAGAGGTCCCAAGAAGATGTGCCTAAGGTGGTCAGGGTGCAGCTTGGTTTTATACATTGTAGGGAGGCATGAGATGTCAATCAAACACATTTAAGAAACACATTGGTTTGGTCCAGAAAGGCAGGAAAACTCAAAGCAGTAGGGGCGGAGGGGTGCTTCCAGGCTATAGGTAAATTTAAACATTTTTTCATTGACAATTGGTTGAGTTTGTCTAAAGACCTGGGATTAACAGAAAGGAAATGTGTGGGTTAAGATAAGAGGTTGTGGAGACCAAAGTTTTATAACGCAGATGAAGCCTCCAGGTAGCAGGCTTCAGAGAGAATGGGTGGTAAACTGTTTTTTATCAGACTTAAAATTTGTGTTGAAGTTAATGCCAGAGAGGTATAAGGAGTCATGTTTGACCCCTCTTCCTATCATGGCCTGAAACAGCCTCTCAGGTTAAATTTTAAGAGCCCTGGCTGAGGAGGAAGTCCATTGAGATGGTTGGGGGAACTTAGAATTTTATTTTTGGTTTACACTAGAATCAAGGACAAGCTCTTGGTTAAGTTAAGAATTTTATGTGTTAGATTCCATCAAGGTTACATAATACAAGGCAAATTGCCAAGTATAAAATACTCTAAATATTTTACCTTATACATTATCTTTATTGGTTACCCATTGAACAAGTATACTGAATACACTGAGCTAAGGTTCACATTCAAAGATTCAATACACTGGATAAAAAAAGGGGGGGCATTTACCCCTAGTGATCCACTTACATGGATTGGTATGACAGGCAACCAGCTTGAAAGAGAAATATTAATGGTTAATTGTGAGGTCAATACATTAATCTTTAGAAAATCTCCTGAATGCTTTTCATAAGCTTACCTCTTTCCAACAGTCTACATAATTGCTTTGTATGTATAAAACTCCTGCTCTTGCTTTTAAAATTAAGAGGATTTATGTTCTTTTTGGCTGCTAGAAAACATTTATAAATCTATGCTACATTGTTTAAGACCCATTTTTATTCATTTTACAATGATTTTTACTGACTTGAGCAAGAATAAACCAACCTGTAAACATGTTCACACAGCCTATTTGAACTTTTTATTAGTGAACAGGCAATGTTGGCTAAGTTGTCTAGACTCATTCAGACCTGTATCACTGTTCACATGTTAAGTTTAATTTCCAAGAAGAAACTAAAATAAATCACAACTATCTTTTTTGCCTTGTTTTGTAAATTACTGCAAATTTCTAATTCCAAAAAAAGTTACAAAAGAAAATTTCTTCATTGGTAGCATGCAGCACCAATTGGAAATGTGAGATATTATATGACACAGTCATGAGAAATCAGAGTGGGAAAATGTCCATGGCTTCAGAAGTGTGTGATTACCATCATTATGTCATTACACATGTTAATATCTGGACTTCAATTAGTTGCAGATATAGACACAATACGATGTGTATTTTCAAGCATAGTTCATCATTTCAAAGATATTTACTAAAGAACTAATATTCTCAACTAGTTTAAGTAGCAGAGGATAAAACATTGAAAAAGCAATGTATATTTTAGAGAGTGATATGAAGCTATAGCATTGAAATATTAGTTGAACTTCAGTTTTGAAAATTAAGTATTTGGTTATTCTCTGTTTTATCATAGCCTAAAAATTTAACATGAGGCCATAGAAATATAAAGAATAAGCCTCTCTATTGTTTACCATAATTTAAATTAAATGCAGATATATTTTAATTTTTTAAAGAGTATTTTTTTCCAGTTAAGCCTTTACTTAATTTGACTTTATTATTTGCACTAGAAGTTATATACATGGCTTAGTAAGCATATGAAGCCAATATGTCCCATAAGTGAGGAAATGCCCAGATCTTTTAAGGCCATCAGAAGGAAGGAACTCACATATCCAGAAAAAAACTACCTGGGCAATCTGCCAGTCTAAATATCTCACATTGTGCTAGCCAAACAACACTGGTGGCTCTTGAGCTGAGTAACCATATGTTAACTTTGATCTAAATGCTTATAAATGAACATGTATAAATGGAAACAGGCACCAAAGAATCATCAAATATTTGAGAAAAACAAACACCAATACCCAGAGGCAATTACCTAAGGGAAAATAATTTATAGAGTAAAAGAAAGAAGAGTTCAAAATCCATTTAATTTATGTTCTCAAAGAAATTTGAGAAGATACTGTACCCATTAACCTCCATCCTCCTCTCACCCCCAAAGTTCAGGCTACTATGAAATAGTCCTTGGAAATTAAAATTTTCATTACCAAAATAAAAGAGTTTGATAGATGGAATAAATAGCAAAATGTGTAGACCAGACAACCAAATTAGTTGGGAAGAAGTTCAAGGCAAGGGACCCTCCTACACCCTGTTACCAAAGAACAAAGTTATAGAAAAAAAGTCAAGAGATGGACCCATAGGACTTATTATAAAATGAAACTCTGAAAAACTTTCAGAAAATAGGAATGGGAATAAAAAGCTTATTCTACAGGAATCATAATATGTTTACCATCACATTTTTCACCTTCAACACTAGATGTCAGGAGAAAAATTATCAGTGTCTTCACCATTCTCCAGAAAATAATTTTGAACCCAGAATTTTATAGCCAGCCAAACTGTCATTTAAGTTAAGAGTAAAATAAAAATATATGGGCATATACAATGCAGAACATTTATTACCCACGTATCTTCTCTGAACAAATTACTTACTTATACTTCAGTAAAAATAAAAATGAAACAAAGAAGAAAGAAGATGTGAGACATGAGAAAGCATGCTAAGCAAACAAAAGCAAAACAAAACACTAAACTATACAATTCATTCTAAGTAATTTTTTATAATATGGACTTGAAGCTTAAGTAATATTTTGAAATGTAGTAAAATAATGTAAAGACTTTGGTGGCAAATTGAAAATAAAATACCAGTAATTTCAATATGAGAAGTAGCTGGAGTGAAGAGTGAAGTAAAAGGATGTTTATTGGAGAAGAATATTGATATAACTACATGGTGATTAAAAACTGCAAGATTAAATATGTTTGTTTGAAATGCTAAGGTAATCGTTACAAAAATAGAAATCATTTTTACATCTTACAAACTACTAAGGGAAAAAAAGAACAAATAAAACTTGGTCAACCCATGGAAAGGAAAGAAAGAAAAGAAATAAAAACATTGTAAACAAGCCAGCAAACAAACAAACAAAAATTAAAACAAATAAAATAGCATGAATAAGCCCAAACATATCACTAATACATGTACATGAATTTTATTCTTCTATTAAAAGAAGAGACTCAGTTCAGTGCAAGGTTTCAGCATTTTATTTTCTTTATTCATCAAGTCCTTACTTGAACACAGCTCTGTTTAATGTGTTCACAGTGAGTTTCAAAATAACATTAAAGATAAAGTAAGGTGAGAATCTGTCTGATTCTGGTGAGTCTGTTTCCTCAAAATGTAAAAGATACTTTTCTAGAGTGAAAGATTCATCCTTCATCTACTACACACATCTATTTGTAAGGAAAGACACATTGCTTAAATTCAGTGAATCAGAATATTTCCTTATTCCTTTCTATGTTAATGAGGGAGCTGCTCCTAAAAATCTAATATTAGGATATAGATCATGGACTTAATTTTTTTGTTACAAGAAAATTTGTAGTAATTAGTGTGATTAATAGTTCAAAAGTCAGATATGGATGTCAATCTAGGATCTTCCATTTGCTATCTGGTGGCTGATTATTATTTTCCTGTCTGAGTCATTTCTAATGTAAGTAAATGAGGATAATAATATCTTTCGAGTACTAGTATATTTTCTCACTCGTTTATATTCTTCTCCTGCCTTTCTCTTCTCTATCTATCTCCCTAACTGATGTTAAATACACTAAGTGTTTTCTATTAAAAGTATTTTTTTCTTGTTTCCTGGACCTATACCTCTCTATGGGCTTGATATGTAACTGGTACATACTAATAAAGCTATATTACTCATTTATGGCCTCTTCCATGCCTGTAACTATGTACTCTGTTCTCTTCTAGCATACTTTATACCAGTAAAAACCTAGAATTCAGATATCCTTGACACCTCCTTTTCTCCAACTGCCCATATCTAATCCATCACAAAATCCAGCTATTTACCCCCCATTTATATCTCTAAAATCCATCCATTTCTCTCCATTTCCACTGCTGCTGTCTTTGTTCATGCTCAATCACCTCTTAACATGAATTACTCAATAGCCTCCTATTGCATCCAACCTGGATTGTTTTCACATTTCGCCTATTATGAATAAAGCATCTGTGAACATTAGTGTACAGGATTTTGTGTCAACATGAGTTTTCATTTCCCTGGAAAAAAAGTCCCCAGAGTGCAATTGGTGGGTCATACAGTAGTAGTTGGATATTTACTTTTTAAGAGACTACCAAGCTGTTTTTCCAGAGTGGCTGTACCATTTTAATTTCCACCAGCACTGTATTAGTGATCCAGCTTATCCCCCTCCTTGCCAGCATTTTATATTGTCACTATTTTTTGTTTCAGCCATTATAAGAGTGTACTGACATTTAATTATGGTTTTCATTTGCAGTTTCCTGATGGACAATGATGATTTTATGTGCTTATTTTTTATCTGTATATTCTCTTTGGTAAAATATCTGTTCCTATCTTTTGCTTATTTCTGATCAGGATAGGTCGGGGGTTTTGTTTTGTTGTTAGGTTTTAGAGAATTCTTTATATATGCTTATCTATTGTCACATATGTGATTTGCAAATATTTTCTCCAAGATTGTGGCTTGACTTATCCTCTTTACAGGCTCTTTCAGAAGACAAAAGTTTTTAATTTTAATGATGTCCAATTTATGAAATTTTCTTTTTTATGGATTGTATTTTTGGTGTGAAGTTTAAGAATTTTTCCTGGCCCCAAAAGCTGATAATTTTATCTTATTTTTTAAAAAGTTTTATATTTTTCTTTCACATTTAAGTCTGTGGTCCACTTTAAATAATTTTTATATAAAGGTTGTGGTTTTTGACAAGGTTCATATTTTTTGTTTATAGATGTGCAATTGTTCCAGCACTATTTGTTGAAAGGCTTTAATTCCTCTATTGAATTGCTCTTGGATATGTTTGTATGGGTCTTTTTATGGATTTTTTTATGGGCTTGATATTAAGTACTGAAGTGGGAGAGTTCCCTGACCCCCTCACAGGACTTGTGTCAGAGGTGTGGCTCACTTGCTTGGTTGCCTCAGGTTCAAACCTTTCATGGGAGGGGAAGCACACGGATGGGCAGATGCAGGAGCCAGGGAAAGTGTGTTTGGGTCTTGGCAGAAGCAAACTCCATGAAGGCCCCATGGCAGCATCTGGGGGCGGAGGTTGCCTGGAACTCCCAAAGACCCAGTGGGCATGTTACAGTGCTCTTTTAGCTCTGCTGTCTGTGAATGGCTGAGTGTTAAACCAGCTCAGTGGAGAGTCAGTGTGGCAGCTTTTTTATTCTCTGCCCTTTTGGTACCCAGGTTCTTCTCTGGCATCCAGGAAGAATCAGGTCACTTGGACATGAAGAATGCTGAATGTGGGGATTTTATTGAGTGATGGAAATGGCTCTCAGTGGGAGAAAGAACAAAGCTGGAGGCATCACGCTACCTGACTTCAAACTATACTACAAGGCCACAGTAACCAAAACAGCATGGTACTGATACCAAAACAGAGATATAGACCAATGGAACAGAACATAGCTCTCAGAAATAATACCACTGCTCTACAATCATCTGATCTTTGACAAACCTGACAAAAACAAGCAATAGAGAAAGGATTCCCTATGAATAAATGGTGCTGGGAAAACTGGCTAGCCATATGTAGAAAGCTGAAACTGGATCCCTTCCTTACACCATATACAAAACTAATTCAAGATGGATTAAAGATTTAAATGTTAGACCTAAAACTATAAAAACCCTAGAAGAAAACCTAGGCAATACCATTCAGGACATAGGCATGGTCAAGGACTTCATTACTAAAACACCAAAAGCAATGGCAACAAAAAGCCAAAATTGACAAATGGGATCTAATTAAACTAAAGAGCTTCTGCACAGTAAAAGAAACTACCATCAGAGTGACACATGCACACGTATGTTTATTGTGGCACTTTTCACAATAGCAAAGACTTGGAACCAACCCAAATGTCCATCAATGATAGATTGGATTAAGAAAATGTGGCACATATACACCATGGAATACTATGCAGCCATAAAAAAGGATGAGTTCATGTCCTTTGTAGGGACATGGATGAAGCTGGAAACCATCATTCTCAGCAAACTATCGCAAGGACAGAAAACCAAACACTGCGTGTTCTCACTCATAGGTGGGAATTGAACAATGAGAACACCTGGACACAGGGTGGGGAGCATCACATACTGGGGCCTGTCGTGGGGTGGGCGGAGGGGGAGAGATACCATTAGGAGATACACCTAACGTAAATGATGAGTTAATGGGTGCAGCACACCAACGTGGCACATGTATACATATGTAACAAACCTGCATGTTGTGTACATGTACCATAGAACATAAAGTATAATAAAAAAATAAAATAAATAACAATATATCCAAAAAAAGGAAACTAGGTTTTTCCTCTAGTTAAAAAACTAGTTAAGGGTTGCTTTAAAATAAAGAAAAAATTAGACAAAAGCAAACAAAACAAATAAACAACAACAACAAAGAAAAAAACTAAGCCAGGACAACAACAGTTAATTCTGAGCTCTGTGATTACCAAGAAAATAGTTGATATGGGGAAAGGGTAAAACCCATTAACCATTAAAAACCAGAGGGTATAATGTAATGGGGAAAGGATTCCCTATTTAATAAATGGTGCTGGGAAAACTGGCTAGCCATATGTAGAAAGCTGAAACTGGATTCCTTCCTTATACCTTATACAAAGATTAATTCAAGATGGATTAAAGACTTAAATGTTAGACCTAAAACCATAAAAACCCTAGAAGAAAACCTAGGCAATACCATTCAGCACATAGGCATGGGCAAGAACTTCATGACTAAAACACCAAAAGCAATGGCAACAAAAGCCAAAATAGACAAATGGGATCTAATTAAACTAAAATGTGGCACATATACACCATGGAATACTATGCAGCCATAAAAAAGGATGAGGTCATGTCCTTTGTAGGGACATGGATGAAGCTGGAAACCATCATTCTCAGCAAACTGTCCCAAGGACAGAAAACCAAACACCACATGTTCTCCCTCATAGGTGGGAATTGAACATTGAGAACACTTGGACACAGGGTGGGGAACATCACACGCTGGGGCCTGTCACAGGGTGGGGGTAGGGGGTAGAGATAGCATTAGGAGATATACCTAATGTAAATGACGAGTTAATGGGTGCAGCACAACAACATGGCACATGTATTCATATGTAACAAACCTGCATGTTGTGCACTTGTACTCTAGAACTAAAAGTATAATTTAAAAAAAACCCAGATGATATAATGTAAAGGAATTGTTCTGTTTCACAGACTGGTATCCTAAGAGAATGATCAGCCAAGTAAACTGGATAAATGCCACTGTAAGGTCCATTTGCCCTGAGAAGGGGACTGCCCAACTCTCCCTATGAAATAACAACTGAAGCACACCAGATGAAGCAGTTAATATGCTACATATGCAAGCCAGATCAGACTGCCTTTGTGATAACTGGAATATCCTCCCACCAAATATGCCTGTTACCCAGGTCATAGTACATTTGGGGGCTAAGGGGGCCCCTTTCAGAGGAGTGCCCCTCCTACAGAATCATAGGACTGTTTAAGAAGCCTTACCAAATTTGCTGTCCCTCATAGGTTTTACAGATGCAACTCCCTACTGGGACCCCAAACCCTTTCACCAGAAAAGGTAAAATGATCTGGGGGTAAGAAAGGGTCCCTGGGACCAGAACATATAAACATACAGGTTAATAGAATTATAAAATGTAAGATGTTGAAACAAGCTTTATGTAAGCTAGTTTTAACTCCTTTACTTAAATATCTTATGAAAAGAGCTACTGCATCTGACTGGGGATATTTCCTCTTTCTAGTACTATGAAACTGAGGGCATGTAATTCTGCTCTTTTAGGAAATGTTAATTGGACATGCTAAATGGGAACTAGTAAAATCGCCTCAGCCCACAAAGTATAGGGTAGAAGCTGGAGTGCTAATCAGGACAGATCCTCCACTGCACAGTCCTTTGTGTGGAGCATTTATCAGGGATAATGGCAAAAAAACGGTGAGTACTTTTCAATGACAATGACTGAACTAGAGAACTTCCACTACAAGGAGCATTTACTGCCTTGTGATGGAATGTGAACGGAAGCTACCCCTAGGCTAATGAAATAATGTTTCCCAAAAGAGTTTCATGATAAAATAAAAATGGTTTACATAAAATCTTGCTACCTGATAAGCAGAGAGCCTCTTTTCTAGGACTAATTATGAGGAGCTTCTAAATTCTACAGTACCTGATAGTGCTCATGAGCTGTTTAGTTTGTAAATGGTATTTCCAAGGTAAACAAACATCTTGTTTAATAGCCGCTGGTCTGGTTAAAGAAGGGTCAAGAATATCTTTTTCTTTTAAGTTTTTTTGCGTAAAGCATGTATTTGTAAGCAAATTTGCCTTTCTGAGTTCTCCAAAATTCAGACAGTAATTTTTTGACAATATAACTGTTTGCATAAGTTCAATAAGAGTTTTAAAACAAACAATTGGAGGCCCTAGTTGCTTTAACAAGACTTAATCTAAAATAGTGTATTTTTAGGTAAAGTTCCAGCAAGGTCAACTTAAAAGGAGTCTGTGTGGCCAATCAATTCTTGCTGCATTTTATGCAAATAATCAGACTTGCCGTAATTTCTCTTTAATGGAAAAAAAGCAGCTAGAGAGATTGTTTCAAAGGAAAAGTGTGACACTTAATACTAGATTTCAGCCCTAACTTGTTTTGTATGAGTGCAGATTGAATCATTATTTCTTGGCTACAATAATCCTCCAGAGAGTACCAGATCATATTTTTCTTCATATTTTTAGTTGATGCTCTGATGGAATAGGTTTCTTTTTCTGTTCTGACACAAAAATTCCTCTTATAATTGCCAAATAATTGTCAAACATTTGTTATTTATCTCTCCTTGTTTCACTTCCAAGGAAACAAAAATCATGGCATTTTGAAGACCAGAGATATGAATCTCCGTCATCTGGCGTCCCACTGGGCTGGAATCCTTTTCACTGAGAAAGCTCTGCTTCTAAAACTATACAAGCACCCTCCCTCTAGGTTCAGGGACTGTTGCAGAGAAGGTGGGCCCATAAGATAATAAGGACCAGTTACGAGCGATAAAATTAGGTCAAGATCAAACCTCCAAATCAAGAAGGGGTACAAAGATGCCTAAACAACTGGTAAAGCACCTTTAGTTGCCTTCTAAATGATTATGTGTCACTTTTGCATCCACCCCAACTATAGAGTGTTTTCTGCTTACTGTAGAATTAAAGGAAAATATTTACTAACAGAATATAGATACCTTGTAACAAAGCCTCCTGGATATAATACTCCCAGTCATGAGTTGTGAAGATAAATATAGATATACAGAGATATATACACATATTTTAAATTATTTTTAGAGCAATGCTTTTGTTTTGTACAGCTAATTGCTATAAGTCTGTAACAAAAACCAAGCTTACAGCATCTCAACACATAGAAGTTAAAAATAAATCAGTCTTATAAATTTGCCTTTTTGTTTTGTTTGTTGGCTTTTTACTTAAAATAATAACTTGAAGAGGTAATGAATGCCTGTCCACATCTATTCCTATATGGCACAGAATAATTAATTGGCTATAAGTGTTTTGCCTCTTAAGGCCCTATGCCTCAGGGAGCCCCACCAAGGGACAGGATAGACCCAGGGCAAGCAGCTGTGCCACCCTGGCAATGCTATGAGACAAAACAAAAATTTGCTTGCCTTTGATGTTGTCTCTGGCAAATCTTGGCCAGAAAGGGGAAGACGTAAACCAAAAATAAAATTCTAAGCGCCCGCCCCCACCCCCAACCATGTTGATGGACTTCCTCCTCAGCCAGGGCTCTTAAAATTTGATCTGAGGGACTGTTTTAGGCCATCATGGGAAGTGGGAGTCAAACATGCCTCATTATGCCTCTCTGGCATGAAGATCAACACAGACTTTAAGTCTGATAAGAATTACTTTACAGCCTATTCTCTCTGAAGCCTGGTACCTGGAGGCTTCATCTGCAAGACAAAACTTTGGTCTCCACAAACCTTTTATTTTAACCTAGACATTTTCTTTTTATTGATACCAGGTCTTTAGGCAAACTCAGCCAATTGTCAACCAAAAAATGTTTAAATTTATCTATAGCCTGGAAGGCCCCCTGATTTGAGCTGCCCTGCCTTTCTGGACCAAACCAATGTATTTCTTAAATGTACTTGATTGATTTCTCGTGCCTCCCTAAAATATATAAAACCAAGCTTCACCCTGACCACCTAAGGCGTGTGTTCTCAGGACCTCCTGAGGGCTGTGTCATGGGCCATGGTCACTCATATTTGGTTCAGAATAAATCTCTTCAAATACTTTACACTTTGACTCTTTTCATCCACACAAGTGACAATAAAGCAATATAAGCATAAAAATGTTAAATACAACATAGATTAAGAATATTTCAATAACTGGAACATAAACAAAGGAGAATAGAAAATTTTAAATGCTAGGAACATTGGTGTCCAATTCTGAGTCATATAGAAGCATTCAAGCCTTATAAAGTGAAATCAATATTTTCTCAAATTGCTCTAACACGCAAAAACAATGTCCGGTTTCTTTAAGATCAATCTCCAGCCTATAAGCTGAATATGAGTTGAAAAGAATCTTGAGTAAATTTTTATTTTTTAATTATAAACATAAGTGTTAGAATTACTGAATATGAGCGAGAAAGAGTCTATGTTTGCAGGGTCAGAGATAATCTGAGCAAGGCCTGAAACTTCTTCAAATTTCTATAGATTCCTAGATAATGCTGTGGTTTTTTAAATTTTCTCTACTTGAACCCAAATAGTGCACTAAATTAGTATTCAGAATACCTTCACAAACAATACTCTGTCCAGTGCTTTCAGGATTATGAGAAAACTTGATTAACCAGTGAATATTTTAATTTTTATCTGCTATTGCTACTCTTAATCTGTTTTTTCAAGAGATGAAAGTCTTCGATTAGTTTGTATCTCAGAAAGCAAATATACATATGTTTATACATATATGTATATATGTATATATATATTTATATATTAAATATATATGTTATATAATATATAAATATATATGTTATATATATTTATATATTAAATATATATATTTCTATATATTTATATATTTATATATTTATATATATTTATATATAAATGTATATATTTATATATATTTATATATAAATGTATGTATTTATATATATTTATATATAAATGTATATATTTATATATATTTATATATAAATGTATATATTTATATATATTTATATATAAATGTATATATTTATATATAAATATATATAAATGTATATATTTATATATAAATATATATATTTATATATATTTATATATAAATGTATATATTTATATATAAATATATATATTTATATATTAAAATATATATTTATATATATTAAATATATATATTTATACACATATGTGTATATATGTGTGTGTGTGTGTATATATATATATAGAGAGAGAGAGAGAATGGAAGAAATTGTGTAGATTTCAACTGCAAACACAAAAGAAACTAAATGGAAGGGAAAAGCCCTCCAAAATGTTACATTTTGGAGATATTAAATAAGATGCAATGAGTAATTTTATGTAAGTGAAAAGTATTTGAGTGTTTCCATGGATAACGTGGTATTTCAAAAAGCTTTTTAGACTCCAAAATAGTCATAGAATAGATCATATTTATATATTAGAGTCTCACTGTAAACATTGTTTACTGGTATTCTCTATATTCTAGGCCATCAGGAATGCCATTTTGAGGAATGTAGGTAATAAAGTTATCAAAAGGACCTTATTATGAAGTAGTGTCCTCTATTTTTGTCAACTGAGGGCATGGATTCTAAGGACAGTAAAGCTCTAGTGGATTTGATTTTACATATGCTTTTAAAATGTCAGATGGTACCTTTAATCCGTGGTTTTGAATAGTCACATGCCTTCTTTATAATTTATAATTTTAAAAATACCAAAATAAAAATTTTACAAATATGTTAAAATATTTGCATATTTTCTCACTAGTTTGATCCATACCTGGATGACTGATATACCTCAAGCACTCCTAATTATTTATCAGCCTATCTAGAAATTGCATAGGAATATTTAAGGTATTTAAAAAGTATTCTAAATCCAAGATAATGTGGCATATTCCTTTCTCTCAAGGAGATTATAAAATGTAATTTCAATATGTTGGAAAGACTTATTTTAGAGCTGGAAAACTATGCACTTTTTCTTCCCAGTACCCCACACCCCTCTGGTGTTTACCCTTTATCACAGTTAATGTCCTCTTTGTCTCCAAGATATTTGCATTCAGGAAGCAATTAGAACTTTCTCTTCTGGCACAGAATTAGCACTATTTTTAAACTCCCAATTTCTTCAGTTCCATCCCTAATATACCACACCATTCATATCCCTACCATGACTTGGGCAACAAACACCATCCCTTACACTTTCATTCTAGCATTCGCACTGCACACTCAGACATTGTGTCAATTTCCTCTTTCTATATTTTCAATGGAAGTGTATGACATCATTGAAGTGAAAAAAAATATTACTTGTTTGGCCGGGCGCGGTGGCTCTCGCCTGTAATCCCAGCACTTTGGAAGGCCGAGGAGGGTGGATCACGAGGTCAGGAGATCGAGACCATCCTGGCTAACACGGTGAAACCCCGTCTCTACTAAAAATACAACAAATTCTCCGGGCGTGGTGGCGGGCGCCTGTTGTCCCAGCTACTCCGGAGGCTGAGGCAGGAGAATGTCGTGAACCCGGGAGGCGGAGCTTGCAGCGAGCCGAGATCGCAACACTGCACTCCAGCCTGGGTGACAGAGCGAGACTCCGTCTCAAAAAAAAAAAAAACATTACTTGTTTGCCTGAAGTTTCTTCCAAAACTTTCCTTAGTTGTGGATATTTTCAGTCTTAGTTTCAGGAAATGAAGTGATTTGTGAGAGACAATAAACCACTCAATCATTTATTAAAATTATTTTTATGCTTTACCATCTGTAAATTTGCCTAATTCCATTAAAAACAAATGAAGACAAAGCTGGGAAGCAAAAACAGAGGAAAAGAGTTTTCGTATACAAGTATATGTCGTAGATACACTAGGTTATTTGTGGACTTGCCTTGCTGGCAAAATAAAACTATCATTGTTTTATTCACATTGACTTTTGGCTCTTCCTGTGCCGCATTAACTTGAATAACCCAGGTAGTCTTCAAAGGAGGGATAGTTAGGTAAACTATACACTATTAGCGATTAGAGTAATACATCTTTAATATTTGCAAGCACTCCCTCTAATATTGCTTAGAAATTTTGAATTTTACACATTAGGGAAATTGATAGCTGGGAATACTTCTGAAAGTGCCTTTTGTTCTCAGCTATTTCTGTTCTGAATACAACACAAAACCCAATATGTTTTCTTGGTGATATCACATTCTACTTAATGCAAAACATCTGCCCTGCCAAAAGAACAACCTTGCCAGTGTTTGTCATAAGCCAGCAAATCACTGATCACTTTTCTACATTTATAAGAGGATCAGAATGGCTCTCCCAAACCAGTGTTATATTGGTCTTATATTTGAGGGCAATCAACTTTCTTCTGGTAAAGTGACTCTTTTATGTGCATTGTGCTAACATTGTTTCTTCAGCATCTATGGATTTCAGTTAACAGTTTATGAGAAATGCTAAAGGGATCCATTTCAAAGAATATCGAAAATATTTAAAAAACAAATGACTTCTGGTGGAGGAGCATTTAATTTTATCTGTTAGAACAAGTTTGAAACTAGTCCTGATGTTTTCTAGGCAAGAGATTGGAGTTGGGAGGTTTGAAAACTAATATAGGCATTTTTGTTTGTTTGTTTGTTTGTTTTGCTATCATCAATGCAGTTGGACTTGAGTGATGCTTGGTCATCTGTCCTTTTTTGTTTGTTTGTTTTGTTTTTTTGCACAGGGGTGGCTGGTGATGGGATGGAGTCTCACTCTGTCACCCAGGCTGGAGTGCAGTGACACGGTTTTGGCTCACTGCAACCTTCGCCGCCAGGGTTCAAGCAATTCTCCTGTCTCAGCCTCCAGAGTAACTGGGATTACAAACGTGCCACCATGCCTGGCTAATTTTTGTATTTTTAGTAGAGACGGGGTTTCGCCATTTTGGCCAGGCTGGTCTGGAACTGCTGACTTCAGGTGATCCACTGGCCTCGGCCTCCCAAAGTTCTGGGATTGCAGACATGAGCCACCATGGCCTGGCCTGTCATCTGCACTTTCTAAGCTTCTTAGTCGACTATATTTACATAACCAGTTAAAAATCTTGGCTCTAAAATATCTATGTAACAGGATTGTAGAAAGAAATGAAGACCACTGAAATGACAAGCCAAGGTTATTTTTATTCAGAGCTTGCTATAGCAAGGGAGTGAGCCACTGTCACTTACATTTGGAAGAGAGGCAGGAGAGTAGAAAGGCTCTATAGTGAAAAAGTGGAGCGACAAAGTATGCTATGATCATAGGTTGAAGGCATGGGGAAGCTAGAGGCAGGCTAGCTAGAAGCAGAACATTCTGTGTGATTGGTTTGAGAAACATATTTGGCTCTCTAAGGTTCGTTCTGAGTTGGAAAGGGGGACAAAAATTAGAGAAGTTGGCAGTTATTGACTAAGTCCTGACTCATCTGGACTGATTGCTGCAGAAGATGTGATTTTTCTTCCTGGACAGGTTGCTGCAGAGGTTGTGGATCAGAGTTCTGTTTTCATATATTGCCTGGCCATTGTTCATTGGCATATTAAGTCTTTCATGTTTCCAAACTAAAAATGACTGACTTTATATAGAGGACCCCCAAAATAACTTCCATATCGGTTTATTGATGCCAAGCTTCTGATTTTGAATTCAAAATTCATTCCTTTGGTTTGAAATTTTGTCTTTCAAGGAAATGCAAATCTAACTGGCAAATGGAATATATTAAATTTTGCCAGTTATGTGTGGTAAACCTATAATATTTACTCCTCGGATCTGGTTTTAATCGGTGCAAGAATGTATCATGAGTACTCTCGGTGTACATAAAGATGGTGAGAGATAAAGTTTCATCAAGGAATAAAATATTCCAATGCTTAAATATTAAATATAACCTTACTAACTTCCAAATTTCACTGAGAAAGGACCTGTATCAGAAAAAGCCAATGGTTTTCTCTTTAGTAAAACTTCTTCATTTTATTGGTAATTTTTCTTTTTTTTTTTTACTTTTATTTTAGGTTCGAGGTACATGCGAAGGTTTGTTACATAGGTAAAATCATGTCACAAGGAATTGTCATACAGATTATTTCATCACCCAGGAATTAAACCCAATAGTTACCTATTCTGTTCCTCTCCCTCTCATCCTCCACCTTCAAGCAGATGCCAATGTATGTTGTTTTCCTTCTTTGTGTTCATAAGTTCTTATCATTTAGCTCCCACTTATAAGTGAGAACATGCAGCATTTAGTGTCCTGTTTCTTGTTAGTTTGCTGAGGAAAATAGCCTCAAGCTCCATCCATGTTCCTGCAAAAGACATTATGTTGTTCTTTTTTTATGACTGTATAGTATTCCATGGTGAATATGTACCACATTTTCTTTATCCAATCTGTCATTGATGGGCATTTAGGTCCATTCCATGACCTACTATACTCCTTGAGAATAGTGCTGCAGTGAACATTCACGTGCATGTGTCTTTATGGTAGAAACATTTATATTCCTCTAGGTATATACCCAGTAATGCAAACGCTGGGTCAAATGGTAGTTCTGATTTTAGCTTTTTGAGGACTCTCCATACTGCTTTTCTCAATGGTTGAACTAATTTACACTTCCACCAAGGGTGTATAAGTGTTCCCTTTCCTCCACAACCTCACCAGCATCTGTTATTTTTTGACTTTTTAATAATAACCATTTGGACAGGTGTGAGATATTATCTCTCTGTGGTTTTGATTTGCATTTCTCTAATTATCAGGGATACTGAGTTTTTTCTCAAATGCTTGTTGGTCACTTGAATGTCTTCTTTAGAAAAGTTTCTGTTCATGTCTTTCATCCACTTTTTTATAGGGTCGCTTGTTTTTTCTTATAAATTTGTATAAGTTCCTTATAGATGTTGGAAATTAGACTTTTATCAGATGCATTGTTTGCAAAAACCTTCTCTCATTCTATAGGTTGTCAGTTTATTCTGTTGACAGTTTCCTTTGCTTTAGAGAGCTCTTACTTTTAATTAGATCCCACTTGTCAATTTTTGCTTTTGTTGTGATTGCTTTTGTTGTCTTTGTCATGAATAATTTGCCTGTTCCTATGTCCAGGATGGTATTGCCTAGGTTTTCTTTTAGGGTTTTTATGTAAGTGTTTGGTTTTACACTTAAGTCTTTCATCCATCTTGAGTTGATTTTTGTGTATGGTGTAAGGAAGGGGTCCAACTTCATTCTTCTGCATATGGTTAGCCAGTGATCCCAGCACCATTTATTCAATAGGGAGTCTTTTCCTCATTGCTTGATTTTGTCAGCCTTGTCAAAGATTAGGTGGTTGTAGGTGTGCAGCCTTATTTCTGGGCTCTCTATTCTGTTCTGTTGGTCTATGTGCCTGCTTTTGTGCTAGTGCCATGCTGTCTGCATTACTGTAGCCTTGTAGTATAGTTTGAAGTCAGGTACTATGATGCCTCCAGCTTTGTTTTCCTTTTCTTCCGATTGCCTTGGCTATTTGGGCTCTTTTTGGTTCCATATGAATTTTAAAATAGTTTTTTCTAGTTCTGTGAAGAATGTCATTGATAGTTTGATGGGAATAGCATTGAATCTTTAATTTCCTTTGGGCAGTATGGCCATTTCTTTGGGCAGTGTTTTGTAATTCTCTTTGTAGTGATCATTCACCTCCTTGGTTAGCTGTATTGTTAAGTATTTTATTCTTTTTGTGGCAATTGTGAATAGGATTTCCCTTCTAATTTGGCCCTTGACTTGGTTGTTGTTGGTGTATAGGACTGCTAGTGATTTTGGTACATTGATTTTGTGTTCTAGAAACTTTGCTGAAGTTGCTTATCAGCTGGAGAAGCTTTTGGGCCAAGACTTTGGGGTTTTCTAGATGTAGAATCATGTCATCTGCAAACAGAGACAGTTTGACTTCCTCCCTTCCTATTTGGATAACCATTATTTCTTTCTCCTGCCTGATTGCTCTGTCTAGGACTTCCAATACTATGCTGAAAAGGAGTGGCAATAGAAGACTTCCTTGTCTATTGGTAATGTATCATTCTAACAGACTTTTACTAGTTTTTCAAATATTATCCAACAGATGGCTCAAATTCTGCTCCTATTTTAACCTCTTTCAAGAAAAACTCCACACAAATAATCATCTTTAAATTCATTTGATGTAAAAGAAAAAATCCTCAACCTAATGAGTTTAATATTAGCAGAAATATTAGGTAATTCGCTTTTTAAACAAAAAAACCCCACAAAATCAAAATAAATACAGTTGCTTTGAAGTCAATTGTGTTGGATGTGTTTGACTGTCCATAAGCTGTTTTCACATTAGCCTATTCACTTTCCCTCTCAGCAGTAAATGGCCCTACAGTGATAGGCCAGAAAGCCTAAGGAAGAATGAAGTCAGTCAATATTTAAAGAAATTTCAAAAGCCAGAAATGAATTATAAACTTTAGAAACTAAATACTTGGTATTTTCCTCTCAAGTATAGAAAACCATCTACTTATGCAAAATTTTACTAATGTCTCTAGAAAATTTAGTCTTATTTTGACTAAATGGTCTGACTTCATTTTTCTTAAAACCTGATTGAATTTGTAAGTATAATGCAACAAAAATAAACTGCAATATATGAAGCTATTGTGAGTTAGAAAATGGTTGTTCTCTTTATATCAATTATCACCTTGATACCTAGGAAACTTAAGAAGCATCGTAGACAACTGGAAAACATTTAAATATTTTCATTTTTAATTATTAGGAATACATAATAGTTGCATACATTCATGAGGCTGACAAAAGATGGAAGTATATGTAGAATATTTTTCAAGAGTATAGTTGCATAAAAACTGACAAACTTTTTTTTTTTTTTCAGGGGAAAACATGCATGGATTTATTTTTAAGAATTCCCAATAATGGGGGGAAAATTCAACATCTTTAAAAATGTGTTTATTTTTTAAAAAATCACTTGTGTACAAAAGTGTTTCGTAGTTTTTAATTCTCAAGACAAATACCCCAACCCACAGCCCACGTTGCTTCAGTGGTATTTCTGATAACCCACCCATTTTCCCCTTACAGGAAGTTAACGGCTCAGAATAGACCCTCCTACAGAATTTATCATTACTGACAGATTGTTTAGAATAGAGATCTAGAGAAGGTACCAGGCAAGGTTCCCTATAATGGCAGTAGACTTCCAGCAGACACCACAACAAAGCACCATGAATTGCTGAAACCTAAAAAATAGATATTATTTTCAATAATATTTCATTTTCTATTGGAAAAGTTTTTAAAATTACATTAAATAAGTTTCTTTTCCCCCAAAGAAATAGTCTAGCTTTTATTATGATGCCTTTAAAAAGTAGGTAACAGCAAGCAGACAAGGATCGTTAACAGCACAGTGTAATGATTTCTATCCACTCACACCTGGAATCAAACTGACAAACTGTGCCACACCTGATTATATATAGCAGCATGGTTGAAATAACCAAGCAAAAGGTGACATATTCAAAACTTCCATTTAGGTGATCACAAGTTCATGAGGGTAGATTAGTCCAATAAAGCAGTAACAGAACAAATGGGACAAGGGAGACAGTAACATTCCCCTATCCCTATGCCACAAGATTTTTGATCTATATTGCAGCAGTGCCAATAGAACGTGTGACATAATATGTAGACACTGAAGAAAAGTCACACTTGAGAATAAAGGCAATTTAAAAAGCTGACAAACTTTCTAGATGACAGACCATAGGCCTCATATATTAACTGAGACATTATTCTGAACAAAAATGAAGGGTAGAAACCAGAAATAGTAAGTCAGTCATGTCTCCATCTTTCATGTTTACCCAACAGCCCCTGAGTAAGTGGTTTTTAAGGTGTGGATTTTGTATGTGCTCAAAGGTGAGCAAGAGATAAAATGAGGGATGAGGGAAAGGAGAGAGAAGGGACTTGCAGTATTTACTTATTTAGTGTTAAGACGCTAGATACTTTAAAATGTAATTCTGGAAGAGGTAACATACAAAGCCATTACTCATCATCAATAATGGAGTGTGAATTAGTAGATTATATTTTCTTTGTGCAATTGTGAGAGCAGAATTTGGAAAACTAGCTGCACATGGTACTTCTGATGGAATAGCATTTTGATTGTTGGTTATGAAAGAGTGAAGATACCACAGATAGTTTTAATAAGAGTATTCCTTACCATTAGAAAGTTCCTTACCATTTTCAATTTGAAGGCTATTAGCACCAGAGTGTCTAATTTAGGAAGCAGATCATCAGATTTAAAAAGTTAGCACACATCACTCCCTGAAATCATGTATTTATTTACATGCTTATTTTATCTTTATCTTTATATCTTTATCGTTATATCTTTATATATAAGTACTTGCTTATTGTGTCTTTCCTCCTTTAAAACAAATCTGAGAGCATAAGATCAGGGACTTTGCCTTGTTTGCCACTGCGTTCCCAGCACCTAGAGGAGTGTCTGCTACAGATATGAATTTGAAAAATATTTTTTGAGTGAATGAATTAAGTTAAATTATGGATCGATTACTCTTTTAATGCAAACTGCTTATAATGATATGGACAATGAAATCCAGGCTGAGTGGTCTCAGATGGAGAAGAGCAACTTGGTAACTGGAGCAAAGGTGACTCTCATTATGTTTTAGCAAAGAGACTGGCAGCATTTTGCCCTTGCCCAAAAGATTTCTGGAACTTTGTACTTGAGAGAGATTATTTAGGATATCTGTGGGAAGAAACTTCAAAGCATCAAAGCATTCAAGAGAAGACTTGAGTGCTGTTAAAGGGATTCCATTTTAAAAGGGAAACAGAGCATAAAAGTTTGGAAAATTTGCAGCCTGACAATGCTATAGAAAAGAAAATCCCATTTTCTGAGGAGAAATTCAAGTGGGCTACAGAAATCTGCATAAGTAACAAGGAGCCAAATGTTAATCCTCAAGACAATGTGGAAAATGTCTCCAGGGCATGTCAGAGGTCTTCACAGCAGCCCCTCCCATTACAGGCCTGGAGGCCTAGGAAGAAAAAGTGGTCTCCTGGGCTGGGCCCAGGGTCTCCCTGCTTGTGCAGCCTAGGGACTTGGTGCTGTGCATCACAGCTGCTCCAGCTGTGCCTGAAAGGAGCAAATGTAGAGCTTGGGTCATGGCTTCAGAGGGTGCAAGCCCCAAGCCTTGGCAGCTTCCATGTGGTGTAGAGCCTGCGAGTGCACAGAAGTCAAGAATTGTGGTTTGGGAACTTCTGTCTAGATTTCACAAGATGTATGGAAATGCCTGGCTGCCCAGGCAGAAGATTGCTGCAGGGGCAGGGCCCTCATGGAGAACCTCTGCTCTGACAGTGCGGAAGGGAAATGTGGGGTTGGAGTCCCCATACAGAGTCCCTACTGGAGTACTGCCTAGTGGAGCTGTGAGAAGAGGACCACCATCCTCCAGACCCCAGAATGGTAGATCCACTGACAGCTTGCACCATGTACCTGGAAGAGCCACAGACACTCAACGCCAGCCATGAAGGCAGCCAGAGGGAGGCTGTACCTTGCAAGGCCATGTGGGCAGAGATGCCCAAAACCATGGGAACCCACCTCTTGCATCAGCCTGAGAATGGACTAATACAATAATAATAATAATTTGTAAATGTAAGATAGCAGGTACTTACATAAGTAATCCAATTTTTACATGTATAAAATAAAGTATTAAAATTAGAAGACAATAAGAACTAAACAAGCAATTATCCCTTTAAAAAAAAAACTTCTTAGCAATAGAGATGGAATGAAAGCAAATCCAAATAACGATTCTGAGCCCAGATCACATTTAGGAGCTCTTAGAATTCTTGTTCTTTTGAGTGAAACCCACTCTGTCCACACAGAAGCTGCTCTGTATTTTGTTTTAATAATGCATAAAAGATATAATTTGACACCTTAAATGAGGCATTGTTTGACTTCCCTCAAGAATACTAATAATTTCTTTTAAAATTCATGCATACAATAATCATCGTTGTCCTTTTAGTGTTACTCTCTTGGGTAAGTAGTTACAATGTGCCAGTTCTAAAGCAGTCTTTCAAATAACTCACATGTATTTCTGAAATCTTAAATGGTCATTTCATTTTATAAATAAGAAATTCCAGTAATATGAAGCGCAGATCTTTTTAATGATTATCTCTCTTTCATCCAATCATTCAAGCTTCATAAAGCTTCCCCAATATCATATATTTTTTAGCAGAGATATAACTATGATGAATTTGAATAGTTATCAGATGAGGTTTTCTGAAAGCAGTTCTAACTTGCCTATCTAGATGCTAATTATTCTGTCAACTGATAAGACTCAAAGTCCGTTAAGATATCCCCTGAAAAAATTTATTAAAGGCTGGGTGCAGTGGCTCACTCCTGTAATCCCAGAACTTTGGGAGGCTGAGGTGGAAGGATCTCTTGGACCAGGAGTTCAAGACCAGCCTGGGCAAGATGACAAGACCCCATCTCTACAACAATTTTCATTTTTTAATTGGCCAAATGTTGTGGTGGCTTGCACCTGTGGTCCCAGCTACTGAGGAGGCTGAGGTGGGAAGATCACCTGCGCCTCAGGAGGTCGAGGCTGCAGTGAGCTATGATTGTGCCACTCCACTCCAGCCTTGGTGACAGAGTGAGACTCTCTCAAAAAGAAAAGGTATTAAAGACTTAAAGATGTGATGAAACTGAGGTGATACAGTGATAAATGTTATAAATAAAAAGTGATCTTAGTGATGATATCCCTAACAAATTTTTCACCATGCTCTGTCCACAATCACTAAATGTGCTGCTTCCCATTAGGTTTGTCAATGTGACTTTGATGAAGATGTACAAAAGAGATGAAAAACAGACATGAAAACACAGAGTATAACTTTGTATTTTCTCTTCTCAACCATGGTGGTCTTTTGTACTGTTCAAATTTAGGTGTTTTACAAATACCACTTATTTTAAATTATTAAACTAAAGATATCTTACTCTGTGGAGACATTTTTCCATAGACTGGGAGGAGGTAGAACATTGCGGGTGGAGTCAGACACATTCATATATTTTACAAAAATCCTGCATAAGCCCTCTTATAAACCCTCCTATAAATTTTTGCTCAAGTAAGCTACTGAATGACAGCTTGATACTTAATCTCAAGATAGGTCTTTAGATAAGGTGCAAAATATCTGGGGAAAATATGTCAGAGATACATGTCTACTTTTTTGTATCTAAGCCTAATATCAGGCAATAGCATGTAAGAGAAAGAAGACTGGCCAGGATTCAGGGTCACTGGTTCTAGACCTGGTTTTGTTGCTAACAATGTGTATTACCTTGGACACAGTATTGAATCTCTCTGAACCTCAATTTGCAAATAAATGAAATGAGGTGATAAAACTAAATTGTCTTAATTGTCTTAGACTTCCAAACATCTCAGACTTGGTGAATCTCAGTATAGTTATTGGTCAGATATTTTACAAGCCTTATAAGAGTCGGGACTCTGCCTTATTGGTCTTTGTAACCATTATAGTACTTGGCTATAGACAACCAATAACTATTAGTTGACAACTATTGAAGTGATCCCTTTTCTCAGACTGAGAAATTAACACTATTTTCTTTTTAAATTGATACATAATAATTGTACATATTTATGGGGTACATGGGGTACTTTAATACATGCATAAAATGTATACTGATCAAATCAGGGTACTTAGGATACCTATCACCTCAAACACACATCATTCCTTTGTAACACAATCTAGCCTTTCATGACTATGAATCCTCTCTCAAATAAATTCAATGCAAGAAACTTTGAGTGCCTACTATGTGCATTGAGAAAAAAATGTGTTTACTAGACTCTCCACGGGAGAGCCATTAGTGGAGGACAGGAGTGGAGATTGTCAATAAACCACTAATCTATGTTTAAAATCACACTAATCTTGTTTATATGAAATGGAATCCTATTAAATATCTATTTATTTAGGTAACAGAGCCATAAACTAGGTA